>NC_000004.12:90133502-90436532 GCF_000001405.40 Homo sapiens
TAGCTGTACAATAATAATATCACACATGAAATATTCTAAGTCCCACTGCTGAAATAAATTTTGGACCATAGCTCTACGTCTTTCAAGCTTAAATATAATGTGTTCACATCCTGTATCACCTTTATACCACTGTTTCTCTCCCTTTCCACCGAACCCTTGCTTCTCTATTTCAATCATCACTTCCCTAGGGATACCTTTCTTGGCCTTGTTTTCTACATCGGTTGCCCTGTTATATATAGTTTTGCATTATGTTCCTCTTCCTTGTGGTACTTTTGGCAGTTTAAATTTTACCTGTTTTGTATGATTGGTTCAGTATTGCTTCATCAGTGTTAGCAATGTCCAGCACATAGTAGACGCCTGATAAATAGTGCCTAAAAGAATATATGAATAAATAACTGAGCTTCTTTGCCTTCATTCTGAGAATGTTTTATTTTTTCCAAAGAAAGAAACCTTAAGAAATATTAAAAATAAGGGGAGTCTTAGAATTTTTGCAAACATAGGTATTTCCTGTTTTGCAAATTATGAAATATTATTTTATTAACAACAATAGCAATGACTGTAATGTGCTGGACACTTCTTACATGATATACACTTTATAATGTTATGTCATGTCATTCTAACATTGTAAAGTTAGTTTGATGCATATATTAGAGATGAGGAAACCGAGTCTCTGTTCTATGGTCTGCTAAACTATATAGACCAAACTTTGATTTTTAAAGTGATAATGATGCAAAAATTATGAAACTCATAAACAGAGAAACTCTGAAGGAGTATATCTCCTCTTTCTTCCTAATTTAACCAAGGGCCCAGCAGCAATATCTGTGTATTACCTGTCCTTTTGCCACCATCTTGAATGATGCTGCCATTGCTTCTTGGGTCACTGAGGACTTGGAGATGGAGGACCTGCAAGGCTGGTACTCCCATCTTCTTATTGCTATTTTCAGTGGGGATATTGTGCACTCTCAGTGCCATTCAACCACACTTCTCTTACTCTATTTAGTCAGAATCACTGAACTCTTTAATGAAAATTTAAGATGTAACCAAGTATAATTTTGTGAATGTGTGCGTTCATGCAGAGAAAGTTCAGACATTAGATATTCCACTTCATATTTGAAGTTATGCAGCTTATCTTCTGGAAAGGTTCATGCAGAGCTTTGAGCATGTTGCTTAAGAAAAGTTGAGCTTATGCACAAGTTATGAATCTAGCTTTCCTTCCATGAAAAGGAAATATGTTCACTGCTGCTATCAGATTTAATTTAGTTTCTTTTAACTTTTATTCTTCAGTTCATCTATTTAACTGTGGATTTAATCAGTGTTCACATATTTGTAGCAAAGGATATATTTAAAGGCTGATTTCATAGAAGTAAATGGACAGAAAGTTAAATTTGGTTATTTTGAAACTCTCTTCAAGACTATACAAAGTTATATATATTTTATAATGTGTTTAAATCAGTCAAAACCATGAATAAAACTAGATTAATAATATCAAGGATTAAAAAATGTTTTTTTAACTAATTTTTCACTTATGGCTTATTTTGTAGCTTTTGTCAAAATCTATTTCTGTTACTGGAAGAATGAACTCTAACTTGAGCCTTAACCATGCTCCTGATTCGGAAGCATTCTTTCTATATAATGAAAAATTAACTGATTTCTAGCCTAACATTTTGTGGCTTAACATTAAGCAGCCTTTGATAACTCAACTCTAACATTACAACGTATTTCTAGTAATTAGGCTTACTTCTATAACTGAAACTGATTTCTCGCTTAATATTTTGCCCTGTATCTTGATAAATTACCCAATCTCACTATTCCTCCTAGCATTTGAGCAAGACCCCCCCTTTGAAAAAAAACAACAACTGGGATCCTGCCTCTGAAACAACCTCATTTTTTAAAAAAAAGACTGGGATCCTGCCTCTGAAACAACCTCATTTCCTGAGCCATTTTATCTGCCAGCAGACACCAGAAAACACAACACTTTCCTGGATCTCCAAACATTGCTAGCTCTTAGAAGTATGCTTCATTTCAATACTCACTCTTGGATTTCCATGATGCCAACTACTTATGGCATATTGCCTTGCTCCTGCATAGTTAGACTGGTTAGACTTTTTCTAAGTATTTACAGCTGTGCCTCTGGAGTGCTTTCTAAACGACAGTGCAGTTGTAGTACCAGTTTAGGACCATCGCCAGACTGCCTCATTTTGCTGAATGTAACCTTTCCTTACCTGGCTGTGCCCCACTAGAAAGATAGTCATGCATCATCATTGACAATAAATATTTTATAAATGTTTATTATAGAGTTGAAGTCCGTCAGTTTCAAAAATAATCATGCACCTCTTATTGGTATTATCTTAAAGTATAAATTACCAATAACTTATGGTGTTTACTGAACAGCTTAATCCACAATAAATGAAATACTTGGAATTCTGTATCTTATTTGGTGTCCAAATGTGATATGTGTGTACAAATATATGCACAATGTGCATATGAATTCTTTAGGGTTTGCCTGTTTCTCTTTTTCTAGTCACCTAAGTTCATGATGATATGACTCTTCTGCAGTCTCCTTCATAACCTTATTTGTATCTTATGTATTTAGAATGTAGAAAAATTGACGAAATTTATTCCACACAGTAAGTTTTCTTCTCTAATTTCTCCAGTTCATTAGTGAAATTTAGTACTGCTCCTGTACTCAAGGAGTGTTTATTAGCTGGGTGTGGTGGAGCACTCTTGTAGGTCCTAGCTACTTGGGAGGCTGAGGTGGGAGGATTGCATGAGCCTAGGAGTTCGAGGCTGCAGTGAGCTATGATCACACCATGCATTCCAGCTTGGGCAACAGCAAGACCCTGTCTCTAAAAAAGAAAAGGTAAAAAAAGAAGTGTTTGCTTAGCTAAGTGTACTACTCTAATTCAGCCTTTATGGGGATATCAGTGATATACCATTCTTATTAAACAAATTCAGACTAAGTTGTTGTATTTATGTACCTATTCACTGAAATTAGCTCTTTCTTGGAAGCAAATATTATGAATCTGTTAATGAATGTTTGTTGTGTGTGTGTTTTGCAATAGCAGTAAATAATGTATTACAAACCTACATCATGTTTACAAATAAAAGCCAACCAAACATGAATTAGAGGCATGGCAAAAATAAATGGCTAAATTTCTAGGCAAGTATCCCTTTAGAGAACTGTTTTTGTTTGTCTGTTTAGTTTTGTTTATTTTATAGATATAGAAAGGACCAAAACGTTAAGTCTGAATATATAAAATGGATTGTGAGTGCTTCTTGATAATAGACAATATTCTTCAAGACATTTAGGAAAAGCTCGAAGTGAGAAAACCATGCATATATCCCAGAAACCATCAGGTGAGAAGTTAGGAAAAGGAGGAAAATACTAGCTCTAAACAAGACCCAAATTCATTGTTATAAATATAAATTAAGAATAACTTATTTCAGGTAAAGTTTCAATATATTTTAGAGGTAACAAAACCCCACTGAGTTTGTACAATAAGATTCTTAAATTTTCAAAGGAATGTTACCTAGTGCACAGATAGCTCAAGAATAATTATTGACTTTTTCAGCTAGTAATATTGTATTCATGTATAAATGACCTAGGAATATTAAAAGTACTCATTAATAAATGAGCTCCACAGAAGTCAGAATGTGACTCCCATAATGTAAATCTTAAAAATTAAAGTACAGATTACTAAACTGGGCCATTAAATGAAACATTACAAATTTGTACACAGGTATATAAACTTTTAGAAACATTATGACTAAAATTGTTTTTGAGAGGTATTCCTTACAGGGTACTTCAAAGTATAAATATAGGGGAATTGGAGAGATAGCTTCATTATCAACAACAATTCAGTTTCTGATAGGAGGAAGGGACCTGAAATGGGAAGTTTTACGTTGATTATCGGGACAATATAGTATGAATTCTAGCCTGGCTTGGAACACAGAGGGGATAAAGACCCCAGAGTGGTAACTATCCAGTGAGGAGAAGGAAGGTATTGCCTCCCAGGATATTTCTGAGGAGAGTCAGGTTCATTGGACGGTGATATAGAAAGTACCCAGCCTCAGAGGCCTGGTTCAGGAAATAAATGGATGAGATATTTTAAAAGCTAAGGAATTATAATTTGAATACAAAACAGATTAGTAAATTTGAAGTTCTGGAGATTCTCTAATCTCAATTCCAATCTGCTAGCCATCAGTCTGCACAGTCACCTTTGACGCAGAGGAGCTATCCAGGGTACTAGATCTTGCTGACCTCTCTTGCAAAAATGCAAAACATGCCGTTTTTGTTTACGTTAATCATAGAGTCTGCTGTTGCAGATGCTACGTTACTTAACTGCAGTTACTAACCTTCCATCATTTGGCTTATTCTAGTAGGCCCTTCAAAGTTCTTTTTAAAAGTAAACTCATGGAAGCCCATCTCAATTCCACATAAGAAGCATATTCTGAGTTCCAGTAATATTCTGTGTATGTTAGTATCAAATCTCCATTGAAAGTATCATAATTCACTGCTTGTTTGTACTTAATGCTCAGTAGATGGTGAGCTCTATGAGGGCAGGGTTTTTATTTTATTTTATTCTCTTTCCCCACCAGCTGGTCTAAACCAGAGGTGTAAAGATACTCAGTATGGAAGTGAGAAATGGATGAATAAATGCACTACTACTTAAGAGTGACGTGGATTTCTTTTTTAAATTTTTTTTTGAGGCAAAGTCTTGCTCTGTCACGTAGGCCAGAGTGCAGTGGCACAGTCATATCTCAATACAGCCTCAAACTCCTGGGATCAAGTGATCCTCTCACTTATGCCTCCCGAGTAGCTGGGATTACAGGTGCGCCCCACTACGCCCAACTAAGAATGACATGAATTTTGTCGGCATTATGTGAACTACTTCCAGTGCTAACCACTGTTCTGAATCCTACCCTAGGCTCACTTTGAACACTGCCCTCCCTGGCTATTTCATAGACTGAAAATTTGTTCTTAATTTGGAGCTGAATAGCCAACACTGGCTAAAATTCTTAAAGTAAATGAAAGGACTGGAGGAATGGTGGCAGCTAAACTACATGCATTAGGGGTTAGTGAGGTCTAGGGAAGCAAGAAGCAGTGGCACAGGCCAATTTGGAGAATGGAGATCAAAGGAGAGTTGGTTTTGTCACTTCCTCAAACCAAAATCCTGAACACCTACTCCATGTTCACTTTTTTTTTTTTAATTATTTTACTTTAAGTTCTAGGGTACATATGCACAAGGTGCAGGTTTGTTACATATGTATACATGTGCCATGTTGGTGTGCTGCACCCATTAACTCCATGTTCACTTTTTAAGACCTTTGGAATATGGCATTTTCTTCCACTTTATACAGCCCAGATTCACATTTTGAAATGTTGACAAATCTGAGGTCATGTGAGGCTGTCAGAATTCTTTCATTCAGTAAACAAATGTTACTAGGCCCTATGCATGTATCAGTTAATGAAACCCAGTATGTTTCCTGTCCCCATATAATTGATGGTCCTTGTTGAGAACAGAAGTTGGTAGACTTTTTTTTTGTTTGTCTGTTTCTTCTAGTAGCCATGTTAGTGACATCCTAGCTTGCTACACAGAGTGAGTGTGCTTGTTTCCAGATCTCCAACCTGCCTCCTCACATCATTGCCCTAAGTTTCCAATGTGGCAAAAAGGGACTAAGTCATCATAGAGAAACTCTTATTTACATAAAAGATATCCTGTCACTAGTGTGGTATTGATCTGCTGGTCAGTTTTGCATGATGTTGGTAAATTATGTGCCTGTATATATTTTCCCTTATAGGGATATTTTCTGAACAGTTTAGGTTCCATGGTTTCTATTTTGGTCAGAAATTCCCTGTATTCCAAGTGCATAAGCCATAGAAAATAGCTGTGTGACCTTTAGATGGAGTGTATTTTCACTTTATAGTTCTAGCTTTCATGTTTTTGAAGTATATATACTATCTATCCTTCAGGTCATATGTTCCTGTTTCCTGTTTTATTTTATTTTATTCTATTTTTTTCACGTATTGCCAACAGTAATGTTCCAATTATGAAGTAGAAAAAGAAAAGCTGTATTTCTTGGTAATTTTTTTCCTTGAGAACACAATTGTGTCACTCAGAGAAATAATGTGGATTCAGAATAACAGGTGTAAAAGTATGAAAATGAAGCTCGGTGCAGTGGCTCATGCCTGTAATCCTAGCACTTTGGAAGGCGGATGCGGGCAGATCACCTGAGGTCAGGAGTTCGAGACCAGCCTGGACAACATGATGAACTCTGTCTCTACTAAACAAACAAACAAACAAAAATTAGCCAGGTGTGGTGGCAGGTATCTGTAATCTCAGCTACTTGGGAGGCTGAGGCAGGAGAATTGCTTGAATTCAGAGGAGGAGGTTACAGTGAGCTGAGATCATGCCACTTGCACTCCAACCTGGGCGACAGAGTGAGACTCCATCTCAAAAGTAAAGAAGTAAATAAAAGTATGAAAATGAAAAATGAATAAAGCAAAAGATCTCGGTAATCATCTTGAATAAACTGATTATTTAAAAACCTAAAATTTCTTTGCTAAATATTTACAATTATGTCAAATAATATGGTCATCATTAATTGCATTGATTAAAAGCCACTTGTGCTATTTTCTAAGTATTACTAGAGCTGAAATATACATAATAAAAACTATGTTTAATCTATCTAAAATAAAAGTTGCCTTAAAACCCTTTCAAGAGTTAGCATGTGTGCGCAAAATTTAGGTGTTTTGTAGTGAAACTTAAAGGGATGAATTTTCGCAATCATCTGAATCATTTGTGTTGTGTAAATATAGCCCTAGGAATCCTCAGTACTCACTCAAGTTTAGGACTCCTTAGGGACCAGAAGTGATGATTGTCTTTGATTTTAGAGTGTGTTTATAGAAAGATGGGGTCCTGCTGAGATTACATTCTTCTTTGACAAAGGAAAGTAGTTCAGTTCACACTCACATCAAAAACAAATTTTATTGAATTAAAAATTTTTTACTGGAATATTTTTTGACATGAAGACAAACTTGTATCAATCTTTGTTATATGTGTGTACGTACACATGTACACAGGTATGTAGTAATTAATTTCTTATGAAAACTGTCTTGTATAACTTACTTCCAATCAGGTATTTTTGGTCTACTTTTTTTTTTTTTTTTTTTTTTTTTTGAGACGGAGTCTTGCTCTGTTGCCAGGCTAGAGTGCTGTGGTGCGATCTTGGCTCACTGTAACCTCCAACTCCCTGGTTCAAGGGATTCTCCTGCCTCTGCCTCCTGAGTAGCTGGGATTACAGGCATGCGCCACCAAGCCCGGCTAATTTTTTTGTATTTTTAGTAGAGATGGGGTTTCACTATATTGGCCAGGATGGTCTCGATCTCCTGACCTCGTGATCTGCCCGCCTCAGCCTCCCAAAGTGCTGGGATTACCGGAGTGAGCCACCGCGCCCGGCCTTGGTCTACTTTTTTAGAATGAAGGGTTTAGTGTTCTCCAGAGAAACCCAGCAAGATATCTATCTATCTATCTATCTATCTATCTATCTATCTATCTATTGTCTGTCTACCTATTGAAAGACTAATTTTAAGTAATTGGCTTACATGACTGAAATCTGTAGAACCGACTGGAAGGCTGGAAACTCAGGCAGGATTTTTATATTACAGTTTTGAGGCAGAATTCTTTCTTTTCCAGCAAACATCAGTTTTTATTCTTGATGCCTTCAACTCATTAGATGAGACCCACCCCACATTATCAAGGGTAATCTGCTTTACTTAAATGATTGTACATATTAATCACATCTACAAGATACCTTTACACTAACATCCGGAGCAATGTTTTATCAAACAACTGGGCATTATAGCCCAGCCAAGTTGATACATAAAATTAACTAAAACAAGGGATGAAAGGTAATATGTTAAGCTCTTTCTGTTTTACATAATATGTTAGTGTATACATTTTCTTTGGTCAGAGATATTTTAGCATTGGTTAGTTATTGGTATACAAAGACACAGGTCATCATTTGTTCTTTATCATTTATTTAACATGCAATATGTGCAAGAGACAATGCTATGCAATTGAATAATTTTTAAAAAATGAATGAGGAGACTGTGTCTTTTAAGTTTGTTAACAACTCTAGTGGAAGAGCCACAAGTGTGTTAGATGACTGACTGGTAAATAAAGTTGCAGAATGAAAATGCACATTTCCAACTTTGCCGATGAAATGTCATTTTACCCATGAGCAATGCCCCTCCAAAAACCCCTTATGTCAAGGCTAATATGCCAAGTTATTACACTTGTTAGTTTAAGGATATGTTGTGTGTAAAATAGGATCCTGAAAGGTATGCTTGCCCACTGCAGGTCAACTTAATTTGGACAATGTTGACTATGCATACATTTATTTTAGCACATTAATGGGTTTGTACCTGTACTCGACCTTTGCAAAGGTGATTCAATATATGCCCAGAGAGCCATGACAAGTGGACTGTCACGTTTTATTGATAGTCTTGCTCTTCATGTAGCATAGAGTAATAAACATTTGCTTTACTGGCTCTAAATAGGTATTTTTAATGCCTTCCTATTCCAAAACTACATTGTGTTTCTGTGTTTTTATTCAATGAATATGGATTTGTCTGCCTGGCTTTGGAGGCCCTTTGTGAGCTCACCACACTTTGTTAATCCAAACACAGATCTTCTACTTTGTTAAGGTCATGTAACTTAGAGCACCCTCACACACAAAGCATATGCATTTAATCCTTTTTGTTTATGCAAATCTCAGCTGTCATTACAGGCCTAAGTCCATGAAACCTTCCATGACGACTTTAACCCTCCTGGGGAGTTTCTTTTGCAGCACTCTGAGTTGTGAGCAATACCTGCTTGGCACCAGACAATTAAGTACAGTCTGTTCTGCAACAATGCATTTTTCTGTAGTGGGAATTAGCTCCAACATGATGGGTAAATAGGGGAATTGTGTTAGTAAAATGTGGAAGTTCTTTCATGTGTGTTTTTCCCCAAGCATAATCATATTTAGCTTTGCCAAATAACTACAGCTGAATGCAAAATATACTAATACAGGCAAATGCACAATACAGCAGAGGGATATCGTTTTATTTATTTACCACTTTTTTTTTTTTTGGTATGAGTAAGCCACAATTTTAGCTTTGAAAGTGCTTATTGTGCGGTTTTTCTTGATCCCTGCAGCCTCTGGCTACCTTCACTTTTTTTTAAAGAGAAAATTTATGTATTCTCTGTATTATTTCTTTTCTTTACTGAGAATTTTACATGTCCTTTTAGGCATATAGGATTTTTATAAAAATTGTTATGGTTTTGGTTAGAACTTTGTGTTATAAATTGCATAGATTTTAAATGTTTCTGCTACAGTTCTATTTTTTTATTATCCCTGTTATATTTATTGCCCAGTTTTTCAGAATAAAATAACACATATATTGCAATAGCAGGAGTTCGGCAAATTTACATGAAATCACTTAATTTTTATTTAATATCCACTATTTGTCACTTCCTAGTGCTAATGTTGGATGTATGAAAAGTGAGGAAGCCTTACTTTTTTGTACATTGGGCTTTCTAAGCAAATATCTGGTATGATGGTGGTTGTAATTCTTGGCTCATTTGAAGGGGAGGAAGACAGACAATGAGAAGTAACTGTGTTACTGCAAACATCAGTTCCAGCAAACATGTTTTTGTTCTTCCCTCTGCCTGGAATGGTCTCCCATTCCTGCCGTATTAAGCCAATTTCTTCTCAAGCTTCATCTCTCAAGTCAAGCATCATGTCTTCATGCTATTTTAAACTCTCACTACCATGTACCATATACCTTTCTTTCATAGTCTTTAAGGTAGCTGCAATTTTATAATCATTTGTCAGATTATTTAAATAATATCTTTTTTCTTAGACCATAAACTTCCTGAGAACACAGTTCATGTTTGGTTTTTTCCACCATTGTATTTCTGTTTCCTAGCAAGTACACACATACACACACACACACACACACACACACACACACACACCAGGTATTAATATACCATTATAGAATACATCAAGTATTCAGTAAATTTTTGTTGAATGAATGGATTATTGAATAAATTAACTTTTCTTTTTTCTTTTTTAACAACTAAGTCTTGAATATGCTTCCTAGAATCAATTATTTTACTTCTCCATTCCTACTTTTTTTTTTTTTTTTCTGAGATAGAGTCTTGTTCTGTCACCCAAGCTGGAGTGCAGTGGTGTGATCATAGCTCACTGCAGCCTTGAACTCCCGGGCTCAAGCAATCCTCCCACCTCAGCCTCCCAAGTAGCTGGGACCACAGGCATGTGTCACCATACCCAAGTCATGTTTTGTTGTTGTTATTTATAGAGACAGGGTCTCCTTATGTTACTTAGGTTTGTCTTGAACTCCTGGGCTCAAGCAGTCCTCCCACCTCAGCCTCCCAAAGTGTTGGGATTACAGGCATGAGCCACCAATCCTTGTCCACATCTCCTTTGTTATCATCACATTTCCTGGTCTGTATTCCCATTACTTGTAAAGCCACTTCAGCATCCAAACTGTAAGATATCTTTTTAAAAGGGAAAGATATAAATCACTTGTTACTTGTCAGGTTGTTCCATCTACTGCTTTTTTCTCTCAAAATTTGGATTTGTTTCTTGAAATTTCATTTTATTATAATTCACAGCTTTCCTGAATGTGCTCCCATACCTTGCCTGTTCAAATTATAGCTAGGTAATGTTTATATTCTTGCCAGGGAAACTTGATTGTGGAAGGAAAAGTGTGCTGCTATTCATTGGATTAATTGTGGATGACATCTTTGCTGTTTCCTATTAAATATGACATATAGGTAGCTAGATTATTTAAAGTAAAATATCATTAAGTCAAGTACCTGTGGATGATCAACATATAGCTCTTGTAACATTCATCCCACTATGCATTATGAATAACTGTTTCACTGCGACTGCCTTGGATATAAATTATTGAGGTGTTTATGAATGTGGACTCAAATTTACTCAATGCACACAGTAAACAGCTGAGTAAACTCCTGTTTAAGCAGTGAGGGAAAAATGTGAAAAAGTAGTGGAATATAGTTAAAACATATCTAGTCATCATTTCAGTCATTAATAACAACTGGATTCTAGATTACCTGGACTATTTAAAGTGTTTCAAGAATACAGTATAATAATCAAATAGGAATTTTTGCTTTCACAATTACATGCAGCGAATTTCAGATATTCAGACTATGTAGTATTTTATGCATTATGGGAAAATTTTTATGTAAATTATTTTATTCTAATGCTTAGGTTCCTCTTTGTGAGTTCAAATGCCCCATTTATTCATTTTGATAATTGTTTACTTTTTGTATTATCCACTATTAATCTGTTATTATGTAATATTCTGAAAACCAACCAAAGAGATCAGCTCATCTAAATTAATTACTGCTGAGTATTATTTCTACAAAATTTTACGACCATTATTTTCGTTTCAATAAGCAATCTATTTTCTGGCTACCTATAGTTTAATTTTGATTATAAAAGCATGATGGCCCGTAAACTTCCAGGTATCAAGTATTATGATAAAAAGTCAAAGAATCTATTTCTCTTTGCTTTATAGATGACATTTGAAATGCTAATTCTATTTTTATGTTACTTTCTACCTTTAAAATATTCTAATCTCATAGGCCCCAATTAGATTTTAAATAAAAATCTCAGAGAAATAGGGTACCTTTTCAATTTAACAAACAAAATACATCATTTTTTATGCATAAGGTAACTCCATGTAAGTGATTGTGGAATGCCACATAATCAAAATAACTCATAAATAATTAAAGAGTCACATTATAAAATTAGGAAGTGTAAAAGAAACAATAAGTGTACTCCTGCCTGCTTTTTGTGTCATATGTTGCTGCCTTTAAAATACAATTTCATTGCTGTATCAGTGTGCTTTTCAGTTTCATGCTCTGCATCCATAGTTGGATTTACATTGTCTGTAGGCTTGGGCTGACTCACCGTATTTAACATTTCAATATCTATTGTGTCAAGCGTGATTTTGTTTTTTATGTTCACATCTGTGTTTATAGGAACTGGCTATAGATGCCTAAACTGTGAGGGAATATGATCTTTATGCAGTCATTGTCTTAAGATAGGTTACAGAGTTTTCATTGTTGTTTTGACTGTATTAACATTTTCTATCTGTGAAGTGTTTTGTAATCAAAATTCTACTTTTTCTTTTATCATGTCTTCATTCTTTGGAGTTTTTAAAATCTGGAGCTAAAATTAAGCATCCTTGCCTAATATGTGCAATAAAAACAAAACAATTGAACAGATTATAAAAAATTTTAAAAGGCCAGAATTTTCATATAATGCTGATCTATGCACTCATAGGCATTGTCTTAGGGTACCTTTTTTTCCCTGTGACATTGACAAATAAACAGCTGAAGATTTGTTGAAATAATCTCTGAAGCACTATTATATGGCTTGATAATTGGCATTTGCAGGAAGCTAACTGTTATTATCTATGAATTAATACTCTTACCTTCCCAAGACTTAAAAAGAAAATAAACTTTAAGTGGGAAAAATGTTTCAAAGTGAAATATTCAGCTAAAGTAGTGAAAAAGAACAAGTGAGATAAGTACTGCTCTTTTGATGTGTGATTCTGTAACCTTCTCATTTTTAATATTCTTGTATTTCTAGTCTTTTGAGAAGTGAGCTCCAATTTATATAGCACAGATGTAGAATTTTAATCTACATCTACTGTGCAAGAACAGGAGATCAGAGGAATATTTTAATATGTAAAGTCTCTTTAAATTTTTATGGAGCATAAAATAATACTTTACCCACATTATGCTTGTTCTCATGTTTAAATTTAACAAATGTAAAGGGCATGATCTTTAGATCATCTTTTTCCTCTTAAAAATCATCTCTTTTACGGTGCATATTAATGTCTGAATTAGCCTAGAAAAACAGCTACCGTCATTCTAATTACTGGCAGCTTTGGTCCAGCAGCTTGTACTCGGTTCAAAGAGCAGATCACAATAAAGATACACATTAAATAATAAAATACGGCTGTGAACTTGGAAAATTTAGTTTAGTATTAATAATTTTATTAACTCAACTGTTATCGAAATTGGCTTAGTGTAATTTTATGTTAGCTAATTTTGATACAATTGGATTATGTTCATAAAATACCTTAATAATTTATACAGAGGATTATATATCTTTTAGAACAGCACTTTTGAAAATTTTTCACTAGAAGATGATCAATTTTCCTTAACTTGAAGATGTGGCATTACTTTGACCGGGCTGTTATGTGTTTGAATTTGGTCAAATCAGTATCAATGCTGCTAATAGTTTCTGTAACCACATGAATTATTTCCCTTTGAAGACACTATGATATTCTTTTAAAAGTAATTAACACATAAGATTAAATATTCATTTTTATGATCTCAAGAATTTATGAAGTCAAACCACAATGTTTCTTCTAATTGTCTTCAGGCTACGACTTGTATTTTGATTATTTTATTTATTTATTTACTTAGTTGTTTAATTCATTTGTTCAGTGATTTATTTATTTACTATTGTATTTATTTATTTTTAATACTTTGTTTAATAACTTAACAGTCATTTAATGCTTTCCATGTGTAAGACACTTTACTGTGTCTTTCTGTGTGTAAGACACTTTACTGTGTCTTTCTGTGTGTAAGACACTTTAAATTTCTCAAATTTAATGATCTAATTTTATTCTCACAACAACCCTATGAGATAGGTTTTTAATCCCCATTGTTGTTTATAAAAATAGAGACACAGAAAACTCATTAACTTGTCAATGATTACACAGTTTGTTGTGGTGAAATAGTTGTTATTTGGGTTTAATTTATATAACTGCTTATTAGGTCAAAAGTATTCCATTATAAATGAGACTTTACAAACCATGAATTGTTTCTGGTTTATTAAAATATGCATCTAGTAATTATAGATATAAAAGTAGTATTGGCCATGTTCAAGTACCTTACAGGCTATTCTAGATTAATTTGAAAAGATAATTTTGTGAAATGCACAAGTGCTAATTATGCATCAAAGTGAGTAGCATTTGAACAATTCAGGTGTACTAAAAGCAAGAGGCTTATAATCCTGATAATCTTCATGACAAAATTATTTCAGGTTTGAAAATGATATGAATACATCCGTAAATACAAACATTTGAAAACATTTTCACATTTTTATTCTAAAACAGAAATGCCATTATATTGGCTGTACTAATGTGCCCTTAAAAAAAAAGTAAGATTGTGAACATATGCTATGTAGGTTAGAATGTGATTGTGATCAACATAATTCATTTGAAGAGTATAATTATAACAATTTAAATAATTTTATAAAAGGCCGGGCATGGTGGCTGACTCCTGTAATCCTAGCACTTTGGGAGGCCGAGATGGATAGATCACTTGAGGTCGGGAGTTTCAGACCAGCCTGGCCAACATGGCAAAACCCTGTTTCTACTAAAAATACAAAAATTAGCTGGGCATGGTAACGCTTGCTTGTAATCCCAGCTACTTGGGATGCTGAGGCATAAGAATTGCTTGATCCTGGGAGGTGGAGGTTGCAGTGAGCCAAGATTGAGCCACTGCACTCCAGCCTGGGCTATACAGCAATACCCTGTCTCAAAATGATAATAATAATAATTGTATGTAATTATAATTTAAATTTTATAGTTATAGGCAACCTTTAGGAGTTAAAGAAATTAATGGTTTATATTTTTCACTCAAATAAACACATGTGCATAAGAAAAATAATAGTACTTGTAATTTCTGATAGTTTGTGGATCCACTAGAGTATCCATGAATTTATTTAGAAAAGCCCAGTATTAGTCTCTTGAAAATATTCAATCAAGAAAAAAATTGTACAGTTTTTTTGCATTGTTAGTATACTTGGATTGACAACATTATAAAACAAACAAAAGGCACAAAGAAATGCATATTGTCTAGGATATGGTAGTACAAGGTTGATATAGATGTGATCCTGGTCGTAGAGTAAAGGGCTTCTTGGTTAGAGAGAAGGATCAGAGAGATAGGAATTTACCTACCTGCCATAACAACCAGGAACAAAGCATTCCTCAGAAGTTTTATAGTCTGTCATCTTTTTTCCCAAACTCTATCTCATTTGAACCTCACTGTACAATTATTTTGATTTCAGTTTTGCAATGGACAAACCTGAGGATTGGAAATCAAATGTTTTACCTATGATGTCACTGTGTAATTAGTACTTCTGGCTTTAGCTGACTTATTTTTTTTCTCTATCTTATTCTGTGGAGCTATCAAGCTGAACCTGTAACTCAAGCATACCTATACGTCTACTTTCCTCCTAGAAGGCATAGGCATTGGAATACTGTCTTTTAACCTCTTGAGTCAATCTTATGCTTATTTTTACAAGTAGGTCACACCCTAACTAAAAGACATGAATAATGACATGCATTTTAGAATATGAAAGGCACTTTGGCTTTGTTAGAATTTTATCAGTGTTTCTTATGACATCTATTTCCGAAATCCCATGATGTTTGTAATTGCAGGCAACACCAAATACTGATAACAGCTGTCAGTATTTACCAGCTACTGTTCTAAGAATTTTACATATAGTAATGCATTTAATCATCACAATAACCTTATGAAGTAGGTGATATTTTTCTTATTTTGAAGATGAGGATATGGAAGGATAGATATGCTGAGTAAATAGCCCAAGTTCAAAGAGTTAGAAAGTAGTAGAGCAGAAGGGGCCAATCCAT
This sequence comes from Homo sapiens, assembly GCF_000001405.40. NCBI lineage: Eukaryota > Metazoa > Chordata > Mammalia > Primates > Hominidae > Homo > Homo sapiens. Next base: position 90,149,281 of record NC_000004.12, read on the forward strand.
GCAGTAGGGCTCTCAACCACCTCACCCTATATACATGGAGGCTAACCAAAGTTTTGTTCATGAACATTTGCTATTTTATTGTTGCTGTTTTCAGGCAAAGCCATTTCATTGCCCTTTGAAGAACAATGGGAGTCTAATATTGATGAAATTGTCCATTTCTATGCTTGACTTTTATATTGGAGGTAGTGCCATTAATCCAGCATCAACTGGGAAATTACTCAAATCAGGTGGACTAGTCTGAGATTTCTCTAAGACAATCTCAACATTCAGTTATACTTAAAAAATGTGTTAATCTTTGAGAAAGGGAAAGCAAGTAATTGAAATTAAAAATAAACTTACGAATATCTTTGGCCTCTATATGACAATTTTGGAAAAACTGTATATAATAATCTAAACCATGATACTTCTTTAGGTAGTGTTTGAAAATCAGAAACAGACTTGTTCTTAGCTGAAAATTTTATTATTATAAACTTAGTGCTCTTGAACTTTGCTTAAGATATTTAATGATGCAGGAAAAATAGAAACATTCAGTAAAGAAAAAAAGAGCAATATATTTTTCATATTCAAGTTAAGTCTGCATTGTATGTAAAAGCAATCATTTAATGTTTTTTGGAGTAAAATAATAAGAAACTTTTATTGACAGGTCAATGCCATAAGGAAGTTGGAAATCACCAGTGTTTATGTTGACTTCATGAGCTATAAAGTTGACCCTTGAACAAAATGGGCTAACTGCATGGGTCCATTTAAATGTGGATTTTTGCAATAAGTAGGGTTGGCCCTCCATATAGGGGATAACCACATCCTCAACCAAACATGGATTGAATATATTCGTGCAATGAAAAACCCACATAATAGCAAGGGCTGATTTTTCCTATCTGCTAATTCTACAGGACCAACTGAAGTAACTTGAATATGTGCAGATTCTGGTATCTGCGGGGAGTCCTGGAACCAAACCCTGTGGGTACCAAGTGTATTCAGTTTTCCAAATGAGTAAAATATCATTATTAGTTAGCCTGAGTTTCCTATTTATTTTTCTGTTCTTTTTTTAATAGCGACTCCCATAGTAACATCAGTCACTGTTGCAAATGTGGGCAAAAAAAGTGGGGTTTCACACATTTGGTGAATTCCTACGTAGTTATTAGTGGGGAAAGGATGTCAATAATACTGCATCTTGCTGCTTTAAGTATAAGAGATGCATGACTTGTGACCACTGTGTATGTGTAGAAAACGCACCTTTTGTTTTTTAAAAAAGATTATTACCAGCTCATGAAGCATTTTGAACATATAAACATTTACTTGTAATTGTACCTCATTCATCTTCATCACTCTTATCAATGTCCTAAATGTAATAAGCAATTTGTTGTTAAAACCAGTACTGACCACAGTGATCATTTTATGTATAGGACAATGTAATTATTAAGAAGAAAAACCAATGCTTTACTAAGTAAGCCAGCTCTATTCTATGTAAATATCCATATAGAAAACACATTTGAAGCTGTGCACTGGGTTTAATATTTATATATAGATGTCTTTAATAATCAGTTTGTGTATTTAAGGATTCAAGTAGTTATTATTAGGTCAGTGAATAAATGTATCCAATGTATCTCATCATTCTGAATTATTTTATTGCTTTGCAGTTGGAGTTTATTTAAAATATTACTAAAATCTTTTTGAATAGATTGTTATTTTTTTTTCCTCCTCACAAAAGCGAAGCATTTGATTTAATAAAAGGTTCCACAACCCTGCTCTGGCCTGACAAAGACTTGCTTGGTTGATTAGCATGAATGAGAATATGAAAGATTTAAAGAAAAGCTGTCAAAGCAATTAGAACTAAAGTCCTCCTATCACTGAATAATGAAAATCCAGGCCTGGAACACTTTCAAATGTACCTAAGAAAATCGTACTTATACAAAATGAAATGATAGTGAATAAAAGAAATGGAATAATAAAAGCCACCAGAGGTAAAATTGTACAGGTAGCATTTTAATATATTCTTGCTACTATATTTTAGATTTATTAATGAACATAATGATATATGGTTTCTTCATAAAGATATATGTATCAATTTTAATTTAGGTATTTATTTAGATTATTAGGCTTAATATTCAATTGTTTTAAAATGTTTAGCTTTAAGATGATTTCTATAAAGTCTACCATTTGGGTGTCTTTCTTTGTAATTTAACTTTTAGATCAATCATTTAAAATCAAATGTGGATATTCAAGCTACAAAAGAGATTAACAGGCATTTAATATTTAATATACACCCTTTTTCTTAATGCTTTTAAATCTTAAAAATCTAGAATAAATTGATAGACTGTCAGAATACTTTGTGTGATTAAGAAAACTAATGATACAAAGAGTACACCTGGAGAGCAAACTCATAATCATTTTATATTTTTATTAAAACATAATTCAGTCTAGGAGATCATTACATCAATAGATTCTTTTCCATTTGTTCAGTTATTTAAGCACTCAGTTATTTAGTATTAAACAATTATTTTTTCAATCTTTACAATGTAAATTTGTATTTACATTTACACAGTGAAAGATAACAAGATGAGTTAGACATGGATCTGGCATTAAAGGGCTTGCAGTCTAAGGAAGTAGCTATGATAAATGTACTATAGATGCTAATGCATTAAATAGGTAGAATATAAACACTATAAAGTGAATATAAAAAAAGAAGAGATTATCTCCAGCTCTATTAAGTAAAGGAATCACCACTGAATAAGTTATATTAGAATTTGGTCCTTAAGTCTGTGTATGCATATCATTTTAAAATGTTTTTGACTGCAAGTAACCCAAATCAAAGTATCTTAAACAACACAGGGGATTTCTTAGCTTGTGTCACTAAAAGGGTGAGCACAGACACAGTTCATTAGAGCCTCTGCTTTATCTCTCTCTGCTCTATCACCTGAGATCTTTTCCCTGACTAGTAGGAGGGTGGCAGGAGTGAGTTCTGAAACTCACAACTGTGCACCACAATCTCCAGAAGAGACACTGACCCAGTATTTCAAGAAAGTGTTCTGAGAGCTACCTTGATTGGTGTGTGTAGGTTAAAAATTTGCCCTTAACCTGAGGCCAGGATGAAGGAATGGGCATACTGGCCTAAGTGAGCCAAGGTTCATCCCTGGAGCTGAAAATGGGGCTTGATTTTCCCTGAGTATTCAGCTGCATGATGGAGAATTTTGGGATATTACAGTGAGCTTATGTGTACTGTTGGGGATGGGAAAGGGAGAATGGATCCTGAGTAGGCAGCCTACAATGTCCAGTGGAGTGTGATTTAGACATTCACATTTGAGGAAGGTTATTCAAGCACAGTGGATTATGTGAACATGTGAAGGAAGGAAAATGTAACGTGTGTGTAGAGAGCACTGATTATTGCAGTTTGGCTGAGATAGAGAGTGCCCAAAGGGAAGTTATTGGAAATAACATCAAAAGAGTAAATTGGATCAGATGGTAGAATACCTTGAAAGCTAGGCAGTGAAATTTGGGATATTCTGTAGATGATGGGAGGTGCTTAAGCTTTTGAGCAGTAGACCAGCATGCTCAGAGTTGCTTTTAAGATTTGTATTTGTCAGTGCTAGGTTTTTTTTTTTTTAATTTTATTTTTTATTATTATACTTTGAGTTTTAGGGTACATGTGCACAATGTGCAGGTTAGTTACATATGTATACATGTGCCATGCTGCTGTGCTGCACCCATTAACTCGTCATTTAGCATTAGGTATATCTCCTAATGCTATCCCTCCCCCCTCCCCCCACCCCACCACAGTCCCCAGAGTGTGATGTTCCCCTTCCTGCGTCCATGTGTTCTCATTGTTCAATTCCCACCTATGAGTGAGAATATGCGGTGTTTGGTATTTTGTTCTTGAGATAGTTTACTGAGAATGATGATTTCCAATTTCATCCATGTCCCTACAAAGGACATGAACTCATCATTTTTTTGTGGCTGCATAGTATTCCATGGAGTATATTGCCACATTTTCTTAATCCAGTCTATCATTGTTGGACATTTGGGTTGGTTCCAAGTCTTTGCTATTGTGAATAGTGCCGCAATAAACATACATGTGCATGTGTCTTTATAGCAGCATGATTTACAGTCCTTTGGGTATATACCCAGTAATGGGATGGCTGGGTCAAATGGTATTTCTAGTTCTAGATCCCTGAGGAATCGCCACACTGACTTCCACAATGGTTGAACTAGCTTACAGTCCCACCAACAGTGTCAAAGTGTTCCTATTTCTCCACATCCTCTCCAGCACCTGTTGTTTCCTGACTTTTTAATGATTGCCATTCTAACTGGTGTGAGATGGTATCTCATTGTGGTTTTGATTTGCATTTCTCTGATGGCCAGTGATGGTGAGCATTTTTTCATGCGGTTTTTGGCTGCATAAATGTCTTCTTTTGAGAAGTGTCTGTTCATATCCTTCACCCACTTTTTGATGGGTTTATTTTTTTCTTGTAAATTTGTTTGAGTTCATTGTAGATTCTGGATATTAGCCGTTTGTCAGATGAGTAGGTTGCGAAAATTTTCTCCCATTTTGTAGGTTGCCTATTCACTCTGATGGTAGTTTCTTTTGCTGTGCAGAAGCTCTTTAATTAGATCCCATTTGTCAATTTTGGCTTTTGTTGCCATTGCTTTTGGTGTTTTAGACATGAAGTCCTTGCCCATGCCTCTGTCCTGAATGGTACTGCCTAGGTTTTCTTCTAGGGTTTTTAAGGTTTTAGGTCTAACGTTTAAGTCTTTAATCCACCTTGACTTAATTTTTGTATAAGGTGTAAGGAAGGGATCCAGTTTCAGCTTTCTACATATGGCTAGCCAGTTTTCCTAGCACCATTTATTAAATAGGGAATCCTTTCCCCATTGCTTGTTTTTCTCAGGTTTGTCAAAGATCAGATAGTTTTAGATATGCGGCGTAGATTTCTGAGGGCTCTGTTCTGTTCCATTGATCTATATCTCTGTTTTGGTACCAGTACCATGCTGTTTTGGTTACTGTAGCCTTGTAGTATAGTTTGAAGTCAGGTAGCGTGACGCCTCCAGCTTTGTTCTTTTGGCTTAGGATTGACGTGGCGATGCGGGCTCTTTTTTGGTTCCATATGAACTTTTAAGTAGTTTTTTTGAATTCTGTGAAGAAAGTCATTGGTAGCTTGATGGGGATGGCATTGAATCTATAAATTACCTTGGGCAGTATGGCCATGTTCACGATATTGATTCTTCCTACCCATGAGCATGGAATGTTCTTCCATTTGTTTGTATCCTCTTTTATTTCCTTGAGCAGTGGTTTGTAGTTCTCCTTGAAGAGGTCCTTCACATCCCTTGTAAGTTGGATTCCTAGGTATTTTATTCTCTTTGAAGCAATTGTGAATGGGAGTTCACTCATGATTTGGCTCTCTGTTTGTCTGTTATTGGTGTATAAGAATGCTTGTGATTTTTGTACATTGATTTTGTATCCTGAGACTTTGCTGAAGTTGCTTATCAGCTTAAGGAGATTTTGGGCTGAGACAATGGGGTTTTCTAGATATACAATCATGTCATCTGCAAACAGGGACAATTTGACTTCCTCTTTTCCTAACTGAATACCCTTTATTTCCTTCTCCTGCCTAATTGCCCTGGCCAGAACTTCCAACACTATGTTGAATAGGAGTGGTGAGAGAGGGCATCCTTGTCTTGTGCCAGTTTTCAAAGGGAATGCTTTCAGTTTTTGCCCATTCAGTATGATATTGGCTGTGGGTTTGTCATAGATAGCTCTTATTATTTTGAGATACATCCCATCAATACCTAATTTATTGACAGTTTTTAGCATGAAGGGTTGTTGAATTTTGTCAAAGGCCTTTTCCGCATCTATTGAGATAATCATGTGGTTTTTGTCTTTGGTTCTGTTTATACGCTGGATTACATTTATTGATTTGCGTATATTGAACCATCCTTGCATCCCAGGGATGAACCCACTTGATCATGGTGGATAAGCTTTTTGATGTGCTGTTGGATTCAGTTTGCCAGTATTTTATTGAGGATTTTTGCATCAATGTTCATCAAGGATATTGGTCTAAAATTGTCTTTTTTGGTTGTGTCTCTGCCCGGCTTTGCTATCAGGATGATGCTGGCCTCATAAAATGAGTTAGGGAGGATTCCCTCTTTTTCTGTTGATTGGAATAGTTTCAGAAGGAATGGTACCAGTTCCTCCTTGTACCTCTGGTAGAATTCAGCTGTGAATCCATCTGGTCCTGGACTCTTTTTGGTTGGTAAGGTATTGATTATTGCCACAATTTCAGATCCTGTTATTGGTCTATTCAGAGATTCAACTTCTTCCTGGTTTAGTCTTGGGAGGGTGTATGTGTCAAGGAATTTATCCATTTCTTCTAGATTTTCTAGTTTATTTGCATAGAGGTGTTCATAGTATTCTCTGATGGTAGTTTGTATTTCTGTGGGATCGTATCCCCTTTATCATTTTTTATTGCGTTTATTTGATTCTTCTCTTTTTTCTTCTTTATTAGTCTTGCTAGCGGTCTATCAATTTTGTTGATCCTTTCAAAAAACCAGCTCCTGGATTCATTAATTTTTTGAAGGGTTTTTTGTGTCTCTATTTCCTTCAGTTCTGCTCTGATTTTAGTTATTTCTTGCCTTCTGCTAGCTTTTGAATGTGTTTGCTCTTGCTTTTCTAGTTCTTTTAATTGTGATGTTAGGGTGTCAATTTTGGATCTTTCCTGCTTCCTCTTGTGGGCATTTAGTGCTATAAATTTCCCTCTACACACTGCTTTGAATGTGTCCCAGAGATTCTGGTGTGTTGTGTCTTTGTTCTCATTGGTTTCAAAGAACATCTTTATTTCTGCCTTCATTTCGTTATGTACCCAGTAGTCATTCAGGAGCAGGTTGTTCAGTTTCCATGTAATTGAGCAGTTTTGGGTGAGTTTCTTAATCCTGAGTTCTAGTTTGATTGCACTGTGGTCTGAGAGACAGTTTGTTATAATTTCTGTTCTTTTACATTTGCTGAGGAGAGTTTTACTTCCAAGTATGTGGTCAATTTTGGAATAGGTATGGTGTGGTGCTGAAAAAAATGTGTATTCTGTTGATTTGGGGTGGAGAGGTCTGTAGATTTCTATTAGGTCCACTTCGTGCAGAGCTGAGTTCAATTCCTGTGTATCGTTGTTAACTTTCTGTCTCGTTGATCTGTCTAATGTTGACAGTGGGGCGTTAAAGTCTCCCATTATTAATGTTTGGGAGTCTAAGTCTCTTTGTAGGTCACTGAGGACTTGCTTTATGAATCTGGGTGCTCCTGTATTGGGTGCATATATATTTAGGATAGTTAGCTCTTCTTGTTGAATTGATCCCTTTACCATTATGTAATGGCCTTCTTTATCTCTTTTGATCTTTGTTGGTTTAAAGTCTGTTTTATCCGAGACTGGGATTGCAACCCCTGCCTTTTTTTGTTTTCCATTTGCTTGGTAGATCTTCCTCTATCCTTTTATTTTGAGCCTATGTGTGTCTCTGCACATGAGATGGGTTTCCTGAATACAGCACACTGATGGGTCTTGACTCTTTATCCAATTTGCCAGTCTGTGTCTTTTAATTGGAACATTTAGTCCAGTTACATTTAAAGTTAATATTGTTATGTGTGAATTCGATCCTGTCATTATGATGTTAGCTGGTTATTTTGCTCGTTAGTTCATGCAGTTTCTTCCTAGCCTCGATGGTTTTTACAATTTGGCATGATTTTGCAGTGGCTGGTACCTGTTGTTCCTTTCCATGTTTAGTGCTTCCTTCAGGAGCTCTTTTAGGGCAGTCCTGGTGGTGACAAAATCTCTCAGCATTTGCTTGTCTGTAAAGTATTTTATTTCTCCCTCACTTATGAAACTTAGTTTGGCTGGATATGAAATTCTGGGTTGAAAATTCTTTTCTTTAAGAATGTTGAATATTGGCCCCCACTCTCTTCTGGCTTGTAGAGTTTCTGCTGAGAGATCCGCTGTCAGTCTGATGGGCTTCCCTTTGTGAGTAACCCGACCTTTCTCTCTGGCTGCCCTTAACATTTTTTCCTTCATTTCAACTTTGGTGAATCTGACAATTATGTGTCTTGGAGTTGCTCTTCTCGAGTAGTAGCTTTGTGGCATTCTCTGTATTTTCTGATTCTGAATGTTGGCCTGCCTTGCTAGATTGGGGAAGTTCTCCTGGATAATATCCTGAAGAGTGTTTTCTAACTTGGTTCCATTCTCCCCGTCACTTTCAGATACACCAATCAGACGTAGATTTGGTGTTTTCACATAGTCCCATATTTCTTGGAGGCTTTGTTCGTTTCTTTTTATTCTTTTTTCTCTAAATTTCCCTTCTCGCTTCATTTCATTCATTTCATCTTCCATCACTGATACCCTTTCTTCCAGTTGATTGCATCGGCTCCTGAGGCTTCTGCATTCTTCACGTAGTTCTTGAGCCTTGGCTTTCAGCTCCATCAGCTCCTTTAAGCACTTCTCTGTATTGGTTATTCTAGTTATACATTCATCTAAATTTTTTTCGAAGTTTTTAACTTCTTTGCCTTTGGTTTGAATTTCCTCCTGTAGCTCGGAGTAGTTTGATTGTCTGAACCCTTCTTCTCTCAACTCGTCAAAGTCATTCTCCGTCCAGCTTTGTTCCGTTGCTGGTGAGGAACTATGTTCCTTTGGAGGAGGAGAGGCGCTCTGCTTTTTAGAGTTTCCAGTTTTTCTGCTCGGTTTTTCCCCCATCTTTGTGGTTTTATCTACTTTTGGTCTTTGATGATGGTGATGTACAGATGGGTTTTTGGTGTGGATGTCCTTTCTGTTTGTTAGTTTCCCTTCTAACAGACAGGACCCTCAGCTGCAGATCTGTTGGAGTTTGCTAGAGGTCCACTCCAGACCCTGTTTGCCTGGGTACCAGCCGTGGTGGCTGCATAAACAGCGGATTTTCGTGAACCGCAAATGCTGCTGTCTGATCGTTCCTCTGGAAGTTTTGTCTCAGAGGAGTACCTGGTCGTGTGAGGTGTCAGTCTACCCCTACTGGGGGGTGCCTCCCAGTTAGGCTGCTCGGGGGTCAGGGGTCAGGGACCCACTTGAGGAGGCCGTCTGCCCGTTCTCAGATCTCCAGCTGCGTGCTGGGAGAACCACTGCTCTCCTCAAAGCTGTCAGACAGGGACATTTAAGTCTGCAGAGGTTACTGCTGTCTTTTTGTTTTTGTGTGCCCTGCCCCCAGAGGTGGAGCCTACAGAGGCAGGCAGGCCTCCTTGAGCTGTGGTGGGCTCCACCCAGTTGGAGCTTCCTGGCTGCTTTGTTTACCTAAGCAAGCCTGGGCAATGGCGGGCTCCCCTCCCCAGCCTGGCTGCCGCCTTGCAGTTTGATCTCAGACTGCTGTGCTAGCAATCAGTGAGACTCCGTGGGCGTAGGACCCTCTGAGCCAGGTGCGGGATATAATCTACTGCTGCGCCGTTTTTTAAGCCTGTCAGAAAAGCGCAGAATTAGGGTGGGACTGACCCGATTTTCCAGGTGCTGTCTGTCACCCCTTTCTTTGACTAGGAAAGGGAACTCCCTGACCCCTTGTGCTTCCTGAGTGAGGCAATGCCTCACCCTGCTTCGGCTCGCGCAGGGTGTGCTGCACCCACTGTCCTGCGCCCACTATCTGGCACTCCGCAGTGAGATGAACCCAGTACCTCAGATGGAAATGCAGAAATCACCCGTCTTCTGCTTCACTCACACTGGGAGCTGTAGACCGGCGCTGTTCCTATTCGGCCATCTTGGCTCCGACCTCCCTGTCAGTCCTAGGTTTTAAGAGATGTGGTCTCACTGAGTCACTGAGGTTGGAGTGTAGTGGTACAATCATAGCTCCCTGCAGCCTCAAACTCCTGAGCTCAAGTGGTCCTCCTACCTCAGCCTCTTTAGTAACTAGGACTGTAGGCCTATGCCACCGTGACTGGTTAATTTTATTATTATTATTATTATTACTTGAGAAATGGAGCCTCACTGTGTTACCCAGGCTGCTCTCAAACTCCCAGCCTCAAGCAATCTTCCCTCCTCAGCCTCCTAAAGCACTGGGATTAAAGGCATGAACCACCATGCCTGGCCCATTGCCAGGTTTTATAAAAAAATATATTGCAGTTGAATCATGATTTTTGGCTTCAGTACCTCGATGAATGGTGAGGTCATATTCTGACATGGGGAAGAGGAATAGAAGCAGTCTGTGAATGTCTAACTTTGGTGTCTAGGAAGACAGTTGTTTCCTTACTAGAGAGAGAACACACAATATGGAAAAATTAGGGGTAAAGAGAGATGAGTCAATATTTGGATATACCAAATTAGTTCTCCATGGATCTATTGAGTATAAGCCCTTTGGAATTCGATTTTTCAAAGCTTTTTATCTTGCAGGTAAATGATTTAATATTCACAGAATGTAGTGACCTACTCTATTTACATTGTTTTACATTTCAGACCTAGTTTTCGTGTCTAGTTCTTTTGACTCAGGTGGTCAGTATTCTGTTCATTTTAATATAGTTACCTCCCTACTTGACATACAGATTGACATATTTTGCCATAATAGTAAATAGTGCCTAACATTTATTGAGGATTGTTTTATTTCAGGCATTATGCCAAGCCATTTTTACTCTTATTAATAATATTTCATTGATAAGTATAATTAAAATCATAGTACCTAATGTTATCAAATACTTACAACATGACTTTTCACTGTCAAGCAATTTGCATATATTATATACTGTGCTTTTAATAATCATCCTATTAGGTAGTGGTGTTATTCTCATTTTACAGATTGGAAAATTTACACTTGAAGAGGTTATGTAACTTGCAGAGATTACACAGCTTGTTGGGGGCAGAGCAGGATTTAACTCCATAGTAGTTGTTGCACTCAACCAGTGCACATTGCTCTCTTCAAAACAGTCCTTAAGAGGGTGTGTTGGCTTGGTGGAGGAGAGGGAGTAGACTGGAGACAGTTGTGCTTGGAAACTGGAAATGTGACACTGACAGTCTGTCTGGAGGTCAGGGCTAAACTGGCTGATGATTTAGATGTCACACTTATGTACATTAAGTTGGGAATTGAAATCACGTGTTTGGGCTCTGTTTATGAGAGAGATTAGAGATGAAGAGAAGATGACTACAGTCAGAATCTGGGTGCCAAATAATAAGATTGAGCAACCATGAAAGTAGGAGGACTATCAGGAGATTTCAGTGACAAAGAATGCAGTAGAGATGAGAGTTTTCAAAACAAAGAAGATGGCTAAATTCTCTGGTGTTACAAGAAAAGCCCATTAGGCTTGGTAACTAGCAGGTCATTGGAGGCCTCTTAGGAGCCTAGTTTTTAATCAAATGGCAGTTGTAGAAGGCACAGGAAATAGGGCTCATGAATAGATGCTATTTATATTTGGAGAGAGATTCCACTGGAGAGGGTAATCTTGAAGAATCATGAGGTAGATAAACTATGCAATGAAGCCTGATATTGGAAGCTATGGGAAACAATAGAATGTAGACCTCTAGAGGAAGAGTTAACTGCACATAGGAAGCACTAAAGAAAAAGTGAAATTAATGAAGATTAGCAAAAAAACAGGAATAAAGTGAAATTGGGAAAATCTCATGGATAATCTCAGTACTCTCAGCCAAGTGTATGTCTAAGTCATCAGCATGATTTTGTGTGATATTTTTGCCAAATACCACACATATCCTAAGAATCAATTTCCTAGAAGATAAGATTATTAAAATTTAAATCCAGCTGCCAAAAAGATAAGCTACCTAAAAGAGAAACAAGGCCAAATAAAACTACCCACCTATATAGATGCCTGATAGAAATGTAACCTGTAATGTTGTATCCTAAGTGAGTGTAAGGAGACAGGTGGACTTACTGTATGTAAACTTGTGAAGTCTAAATTTTCTCTTATATGTTTGCTCATCCTATGTGCTTATTTTTCTTGCTGATGATCTTTGGTTGGATTCTTCCAAGTACACAGTATTCACCTTCATGCAAAATAAGAACAGATTGTGTAGTCAGTTTAAAAAAACAGTTAACACTTATTTAGCACTAATTCTGTTTCAGGTACTGTTCTAATGTCTTACACATAATCACTTATTATTCTCACCTGCCATATGATTTGGATATTATTTTTATGCACATGTTGCAGATGACGAAAATGAAATATAGAATTTACATATTGTTGATGTATTAGCTGTTGGCATTTTGTTATAATTAATTTAAACAAAATTATGATAATCACTTTAAAACTATTAACCATTAACTTGACCTTTGTAAAGGTAATCTATCTCAGATCTCTTTTTTTAATGAGAATGTTTAAATGAGAATAATTATAGAAAATAACTCTTGTCATTGTGAATTGAATTAGATAGTATATATAAAAATCTAAAAAAGTTTTAAGCACAAGCAAATATTGAATCAGTGTGAATTAATAATAATAGGTAAAACGTGGGTTTAAAACTTGAAGTCTTTATTTCTCTGTGCACTAATAGAATGAACTAACAAATTCCTTGATCAAAAGTAAAAATGTAAAAATTCTCATATTTTTTTCAGTTTAGAAAGTGCAATTATAGCAGATAGATGCACAAAGTAAACCAAATTCAAGACCTAGAGAGCTAAAAGGTGTTCTTTTTCTCTACAAGCTATCTACTTCACTGTGAAAATAAAGTGCTACCTTTTGTAAAACACAGTTTTTCAAGCAAGTAGACAAATGTTGCATTGGAAAGTAAGGCTCTATCTGTGTCCATATCAAGTCTATTCTTCTGGCTCAGAAAGTAAAAACAAACAAAAAGCTATGGTATTTTGGAAGGTGGAGTGTGGTAAGGTGGCAAAGGGATAAGTTGGTGAAAGGTTTAGGTGTACAAAGTATGAACCAGTTTCTCTCAGGCTTATGTTCTTTTTGCCTCAGGAAGCTCATTTTGACATATCCCCTCACAGACTATTACCCATTTCCTTCTGAGTGTGAAGCAGAAAGCCTTCCCTTTATTAACTTGCTTCCCTGTAGGCTGTTCCTAACTGAAATATTGACATTTATGTGTTTTACATGCTCTGATCACAATAAATGCTAATGTTTTATCAATATTTAATAATTATGATAGCAGAACTCATATAATGTACTCAGATGCCTTCCTCCTGTATCATTTCTGTATCTGATAATGACATAATGACATTTTCACCAAATAAGTATATAAAAATTAGTCTTAATGCTTGTACTTATCCCACTGTATGTAAAAGTTAACGTAACATAATGGATTAAGTGTTTTTCAATTAGAAAATAATTTTTAAAACTTATCCTTTTTTAAATGAGCGTAGCAGTATCCTAAACAGTATTATAGAAGTCTAAAAAAAAAGTTAAGACATCAAAACCCTAACAGTGGTGGAAAGTCACTTGAACAGTGACAAGAAGAGTCCAATGAGTCATAAATAAGCTAAATTAATTCAGAAGCTGCAGGGTGCTGCAGAGATGTGGTTGGTACCTTTTGACCTGTGACCAAAAAAAATTCATTTTTTTCTTCTATGGTTTATGGAGATAGCCTTGTGGGATTCTTATCAATTGAAGTTACAATATTCAGTACTTGAATATAAACATGGTGGATTAGAGTCTGTTAGAAACAGTGACTTAGATAAGCGTGTTAATATTTTAGGTCACTAGACAACCACCTAATTGAATAGTATAAAACAATTTGTGTCTTTGTCCAGGGAGTAAGAAACCATGGAAATTATTCACATATGTCACAACTCCAAGATTATTTTTATTCCTGTGTTTGTTTCAGTTTATCATGTTTTTACACATTTTGAAAGAAGAGATGCATATAATTATTTTCAACTTTTTTGTCACTTATTTTAGCATTATTTTATTTACATTCAAATAAAATAATCTTTAAATTTATGCTTTCTTATACATATATGTTTATGTTTTTCTGACATTGTTAGTTTATGATGCTAAATTTAAGCATTGCATTGTTAAAGGCAGGTAAATATGACAGAGTGCTTTTAATGTAATAAGTGGGGATAATAAATGTTTCGTAATACCTATATTGGCAGTGGAGCAGATAGCTTATGTAGAAATAGAACGCCATTCTTAAATAGGTCAGAATTAGCTCTTTAGGCCTTGAATTTGGTTTACTTTGTGCATCTATGTGCTATAAATTCACATTACAAACTGAAGAAAGTATGGGAATTTTTACATTTTTACTTTTGATCACGAAATTTGTTAGTTTATTCTGTTAGTGTAGAGAGAAAAAAGACTACTTTGAGTTATAAACCCACATTTTTTACCTATTATTATTAATTCACACTGATTCACTATTTGATTTGTGCTTAAAACATTTTTAGATTTTTTTACATGTAGTATCTAATTTAATTCACAACAATGACAAGAGGTATTTTCTATTGTTATTCTCATTTAAAAATAAGAGATCTGAGATAGGAGATTAACTTTACAAAGGTCACTAAGATGTCAAGGAAATGAGGTGTAGATTATTATAAATGCTCTAACTTTTTCCAGATTTGCTCCCCAAAGAAGGTTGGAAGTACTACATTAATGACATTGTACCAGCTGACTTTCTAGATTTGTAGTAATAAAGTGGGAATGAAGTGGGGTTGGGAGGAGTGTATTCACTAAAAATACCTTCTTTGTTGGCTTTGGCATACTGAAAAGAGAAACATTTCTTTTGAGATAAATTTTCTAGCCATTTCTGCTAGATACCTCCTTTTGGCAAGTGTTGAATTTGGATGCACTCTGTTTCAGTTTTTATAGCTGGGTGTTTGCTGCTGTCTTGGGTCATGTTTGTCAGGGGTTGACAAGCACTTTAGGATGTTGTGCAGCTTCAGGCAACAGCAGGCTCCCTGGAAATCATGACTGCTTCTTTTAACCTCATAGTTCTCAAAATTCCGTGGCTTATGAGAACCTACATGAAAGCCTGCCATGTCACACATTTAATAAGGGTTTTTTTTCAAATCATTAAGGAAAATAATAGCTACAATTTCCTACATTCTTAAGGTTTTTTTTTTTTTCTTCAAATTTTGGCTTCTACTGTTACTTGTCTATCGCAGAATTGATTTTAGATGTTACATTTATATTTTAGAACAAAATTTATTTTTAGTTATTTAAGATATGAAGATAATCGCAAACATTTTAAAGTTTAAGGAATAGTAATTTTTTCTTTAACTGCTGTTGGACAAAAAAGAATCTGTACTTGTGTTGCTGGGCTTTTGAGATCTTTTTTGATAGTCAGGATAATATATAGGTATGCTGAAGTAGCACAGATAGTAGATTGAGTTACATAAGAAAGGACACACAGCTAACTGAATATTTTTAAAGGTGGATTAAAAAGAATAGATCCATAAAAAGAATCTAAAGTAGCAGATCCAGAAATAAAGCGAAGAGGAAAATTAGAGTTGTCTAGACTTCCTACAGAAAGGGAGAGAAAAGAGAAATTGTGAAGCAGCTACTGTGTTGAATGAGACTTTGTCTAAAGAGTGTGTTTTGGATATTTTGGTCATTGTTATATAGAAATCTGTATATAGTGAGCACCCACCCATACCCATAGACTACTCTCCCCAAATACACTTTGCTACCTTTTGACAAAACTTGAATGTTTTTGAATTTTTTTTGAATCTTTTAGACTTGGATTGGTGTTCTGTGGATATGATAGCATACAGAAATGGGCCAGAAGGCAGGATAATGAGGAACAAAGGAGTATTGATGGTGGTTTTTACCAAATCAAAAAGACATATAGATATTTCATGATTTGAACTTGTTGAAAATCACTGATGACATTTCTATCTTTTTCTGGATTCTAATCCTAAACTCTTAAGGCTGAACCTGTGATCTACTTGGCATTGTTTTTGAAGACCTAGAATTTTAACCTTAGTGTAATGCTTATGCTTCATTAGTTGATAGAAGCTTCTCTGATACCAGTTGTGCCAAATATTAAGTTTCACTATACACAATAGCTGGTGTTATGCCTGTCATTGGAAGTAAATGAAGGACTGTGTGCTTTAAATATTACTAAAACTGTTCTAAATCCTCTAAAGAATAGGAAAACAATTGATTCATGTTCTTCAAAAGGATTTTAATGTAACTGCTGATTTGGTGATGAGCATACCCAAAATGTTTAGTTTGGGGAATGTGGTGTCAATTGGAATTCTTGAAACTACACTAGTATTATCCTATTACTGAGTCATTCCTTTGAGGGTGGCTTAGAATTAAACCATCTTGGAAAGGAGAAGACATTATATCCTCTTTCATTTATTTGTTCAACAAACATTAAATTGTTACTCTTATTGGGCAGTGTGTTAGTTTTCATAGATACAACAATAAATAAGAACTCTCTTTGACTTCATGGATTATATTATCTATTGGAAAAGACAGATGTGTAAATAGATTATAATTACATGTTTCTGTGATAATGGTATACACATGTCATACATACTAAGAAGGAAGCATAGGACAATAATCTGAGAGTTGTTTTAACCTAAAAAGACTAATTGTCACAGGGAGGAAATCTGCATGGTGAGAATTGATGGGGTTGAAAATTTTGCAGTGAAGTATGAGGCAAGCTGTGTTTAAAAAGCAGAAATGTAATATGGAAGGTGAGATGATAAACCAGGAATGAGTGAAACCAGAGGATCATTACTTCAGTAATAAAATCTCTAGGGAAAACTAGGTTAAAGCTGGGGATGTTGTCTTCTGGAATTTAAGAATAGAAGTTAATGTATGAGTTCACATGTATAACTCATATTCCAACTATAGACGGTCCCTAACTTAAGATGGTTTCACTTAACAATATTTCGACTTTATGATGGTGCGAAAGTGATACGAACTGAGTAGAAACCATACTTTGAACACCCACACAACCATTGTTTTCCACTTTCAGTACAGTATTTAATAAATTGCATGAGCTATTCAAACGTTACTATAAAAGAGGCTTTGTGTTAGGTAATTTTGTCTAACTGTAGGCTAATGAGCATGTTTAGGTGTGCTTGGCTAAGCTCTATGGATGTTAGGTTAAAGGTTGTATATATCAAATGCATTTCCAACTTAGATATTTTCAACTTAATGGTGAGTTTATCAGGGCACAACCCAATCATAAGGAGCATACTTTAGTGTTGTGTAATAGCAACACTAAAATAGTGACATAGAGTAAAAAAGTAGGTACATGGTCTTAGATAAGACAGTATACCATATACTTGACATAATTTTTTTTGGAAATAGCACCCTCAAGGAGGTATTTTGTTTATATTATTAAAAGCTTATAGCATTTAAAAATTAATTAAGGGGAGAATAATTATCAGATTTTTACTCTTTAGCTAATGTCATTCGTATAATAAAATGCCTATATAAGTTTAAGGAGTATAATTCAATTAAGCCTTCTTTCTGTGGTTTTGAAAATAATTTTTACAATGATAATCAGCTGCAGCAAAAACAGATCTAAGGCAAAAATACCAAATTGTATTAGAATAGTCAAATTTCAGATATTTTTATTGCAAATGTTAAAAGAGTTTCAAATATCAGCTTTAAAAACTTATGTAAAAGCTCATTGTATACTAATGTGATTTAAATAATATATAATTAACCTACATAGGTTGTGTAATTAATTTACCAGTATTTAAATAATTTAGGATGATAATATTCTAGAACTGAGGCTGTGTCTTTTTTTAGTTTCTTTTAAAATATCATATTTTTAATTCTTGAGATAATTGCTTGTTGGAAGTATCAATTTAGTGAAATTCTTTAATCAAGCGTAAGTTTATGTTATATCATCTTCTTATGTGTATTGTTTATTATAATTGATTGTAACATAAGTGACTTCACCTTGCATTAGCCAGATAAAATAAAATTCAGCAATGTAATTTTGGATTTCCACATTTCTATGTTAAAGTACTTAAAAACTCAAACTCAAGAAGTTACAAAGGTGTTAAATATTAAAGTATCAAGAAATTAGCAATTTAAAAATATCTGTGTCTCATTTTAAGCATATAGTTACATCCTAAATATATTTTTCATTTACAACTGTTAGAAATGAGTTAATTTTAAGGATACTACTACCAGGGTAAAAATATAGATTGAATTTAAGAAATTTATAAGAATATTGTCAATAAAGTTGTACATTTTCATTCTATCCATGGCTAAAGAAAGATTATCCACACACTCATACGTAGTCATTAATACAGAAAGATGGGAAAGATGGTTTGGGACAATTTTATTTGTTTTATTATTATTTTTTATTATACTTTAAGTTTTAGGGTACATGTGCACAATGTGCAGGTTTGTTACATATGTATACATGTGCCATGTTGGTGCGCCGCACCCAGTAACTCGTCATTTAACATTAGGTATATCTCCTAATGCTATCCCTCCCCCGTCCCCCCACCCCACAACAGGCCCCGGTGTGTGATGTTCCCCTTCCTGTGTCCATGTGTTCTCATTGTTCAGTTCCCACCTATGAGTGAGAACATGCAGTGTTTGGTTTTTTGTCCTTGTGATAGTTTGCTGAGAATGATGGTTTCCAGCTTCATCCATGTCCCTACAAAGGACATGAACTCATCCTTTTTTATGGCTGCATAGTATTCCATGGTGTATATGTGCCACATTTTCTTAATCCAGTCTATCATTGTTGGACATTTGGGTTGGTTCCAAGTCTTTGCTATTGTGAATGGTGCCACGATAAACATACGTGTGCATGTGTCTTTATAGCAGCATGATTTATAATCCTTTGGGTATCTACCCAGTAATGGGATGGCTGGGTCAAATGGTATTTCTAGTTCTAGATCCCTGAGGAATCACCACACTGACTTCCACAATGGTTGAACTAGTTTACAGTTCCACCAAAAGTGTAAAAGTGTTCCTATTTCTCCATATCCTTTCCAGCACCTGTTGTTTCCTGACTTTTTAATGATCGCCATTCTAACTGGTGTGAGATGATATCTCATTGTGGTTTTGATTTGCATTTCTCTGATGGCCAGTGATGATGAGCATTATTTCATGTGTCTTTTGGCTGCATAAATGTCTTCTTTTGAGAAGTGTCTGTTCATATCCTTTGCCCACTTTTTGATGGGGTTGTTTGTTTTTTTCTTGTAAATTTGTTTGAGTTCATTGTAGATTCTGGATATTAGCCCTTTGTCAGATGAGTAGATTGAAAAAATTTTCTCCCATTCTGTAGGTTGCCTGTTCACTCTGATGGTAGTTTCTTTTGCAGTGCAGAAGCTCTTTAGTTTAATTAGATCCCATTTGTCCATTTTAGCTTTTGTTACCATTGCTTTTGGTGTTTTAGACATGAAGTCCTTGCCCATGCCTATGTCCTGAATGGTACTGCCTAGGTTTTCTTCTAGGGTTTTTATGGTTTTAGGTCTAACATTGAAGTCTTTAATCCACCTTGACTTAATTTTTGTATAAGGTGTAAGGAAGGCATCCAGTTTCAGCTTTCTACATATGGCTAGCCAGTTTTCCCAGCACCATTTATTAAATAGGGAATCCTTTCCCCATTTCTTGTTTTTGTCAGGTTTGTCAAAGATCAGATGGTTGTAGGTATGTGGCATTATTTCTGAGGGCTCCATTCTGTTGCATTGATCTATATCTCTGTTTTGGTACCAGTACCATGCTATTTTGGTTACTGTAGCCTTGTAGTATAGTTTGAAGTCAGGTAGCGTGATGCCTCCAGCTTTATTCTTTTGGCTTAGGATTGACGTGGTGATGCGGGCTCTTTTTTGGTTCCATATGAACTTTAAAGTAGTTTTTTTGAATTCTGTGAAGAAAGTCATTGGTAGCTTGATGGGGATGGCACTGAATCTGTAAATTACCTTGGGCAGTATGGCCATGTTCACGATATTGATTCTTCCTACCCATGAGCATGGAATGTTCTTCCATTTGTTTGTGTCCTCTTTTATTTCATTGAGCAGTGGTTTGTAGTTCTCCTTGAAGAGGTCCTTCACATCCCTTGTAAGTTGGACTCCTAGGTATTTTATTCTCTTTGAAGCAATTGTGAATGGGAGTTCACTCATGATTTGGCTCTCTGTTTGTCTGTTATTGGTGTATAGGAATGCTTATGATTTTTGCACATTGATTTTATATCCTGAGACTTTGCTGAAGTTGCCTATCAGCTTAAGGAGATTTTGGGCTGAGACGATGGGGTTTTCTAGGTATACAATCATGTCATCTGCAAACAGGGACAATTTGACTTCCTCTTTTCCTAACTGAATACCCTTTATTTCCTTCTCCTGCCTAATTGCCCTGGCCAGAACTTCCAACACTATGTTGAATAGGAGTGGTGAGAGAGGGCATCCCTGTCTTGGACCATTTGAAATGAGATATGAGAAAACCAATTTACTCTCAGAAAGAAATAGAATATCATTTGAAAACTTGTGAAACTGCTATAAACCATCATGTTACTGAAATGCATTCATTTTAAAGGTCTCTCTGTACCACAAAAACGGTTTTATTGTGGAGCATATGAACAGCTTCTTCCATTCTCACTACATGCTTAATGTTTCTTGTTCCTCATTAGTTAGCCTTTGTCTACATTCTTTAATTGTGGATTTCTATGGGTGTTAATCACTGGGTTACACATGTACTTATCTAGTGTCCCTCTCACGTTTTATTCTTAGTTCTAGGCATAAACCTTTTCATGCCATTTTCCAGGCTTAGGCTTCTATGATAATACACGTATCCTGGACCTCCTTCCCTTTCTTCTTTTCCCCATCCTCCCTTTTCTATCTGTCCTTAGGTGTTCTTATGTCACCTAGATAGATAATTCCTCTAGCCTCCACTCTGGTTCAGATCTTCTGATTTCCTTATTCATTTATTGGTTTCTCTAAAAGTTTCCAAATGTTCTTAAAGTCCCAGCATCTTGACTCCTATGCAATCATCTACCCATTATATACACACTACTGAAATATATCTATTACCAGGCAAAGGTGGCCAGAACGTCTCTTGAAGGCAGATAGTATATCTACAAATAATTTGCCTCATGCTATTGTTTCTATCTTAGAAATTAGATTTCTATAGAAATGGTACTTGGGCATCCAAACAGATTCAACACCTTCTTTTATATCACAGATAATATGTATATTGTTTTTACTGTTTTTGTTAAAGGAACCTTGAAATATCTTTTAATTCTCGAACACTTTACCTACCTAACAGCTAACCTTTTTTTTTTTTTACTGTATTTTACCCTTTGCCTAGCAATAAACTCAACAATTTAAAAATATTTCTGATTTATTCTAATTATATTTTTCACCAGTTAACCATCGCCCCCTAGCCACTCTCCACTACCCTTCCCAGTCTCTGGTAACCATTCTGCTACTCTCTATCTTCATGAGTTCATTTTTTTTTAGCACCCACAAATAGATGAGAACATATGCAATTTATCTTTCTGTGCCTGGCTTATTTCATTTAACATAATGACCTCTAGTTCCGTCCATGTTTTTGCAAATGACAGGATCTCATTCTTTTTTATGGCTGAATAGTATTCCATTGTATATATGTACTATATTTTCTTTATTCATCTTTTGATGGACATTTAGTTTGCTTACAAATCTTGTCTATTGTGAATAGTACTGCAATAAACATGGGAGTGCAGATATCTCTTTGACATACTGATTTCCTTTCTTCTGAGTATGTAGCTAGCAGTGGGATTGCTGGATCATATGGTAGCTCAATTTCTAGTATTTGATAGCACAACAGTGTGATTATAGTCAATAATAATTTATTATACATTTAAAAACAACTGAAAGAATATAATTAGATTGTAACTCAAAGACAGGATAAATGCTTGAGGTGATGGATACCGAATTGCCTCTATTGTGACTTTTATGCATTTATGCCTGTTTCAAAAGATCTCATGTACCCCATAAATATATACACTTAATATGTATCCCCAAAAATTAAAAATTAAAAAAAAGTCTTGTGGGCAGAAATGTAAAAAAAAAATAAAATACAGGAATATATTTTAAAAATTTATTTGCATCAATTTAAAGGACACAAGTGTAAAAAATTTATACTAAGAGAATTTTCAGTGTCCTTTGAGGGTTTGTCAAACTAAAATCTTAAAAATGTTATTAAGACGTTCCTACTTAAATCTAACCTAAATATTTATTGTGCCAAACTGCCCACATGAAAACAGAATAAATATTTGTGATGTAAAGTAACCATTTACTACTATTAAATCTTGTCTCAGCTTTGTTTTTGCCTATTATATATCATTTACTTAAAAACCTTTTAATCACACCCTGATTAATTTGGATTGGTTTTTGTAATCTGACAGTGTAACTTCCAAATAATAAAGATGTTTTAAGTTAAAAACACTTTAGAAGTTTTTCTTCACTTAGAAACACATTCCACTGTGTAAGTCCCTTGAAGTCAGTTATAATTATTACAGTCTGTGGGGATTAGTATATTGTAAGGAGATTACTGGGCTTCTTTACTTAGCAGCACAATGAGCAACGGTGTACCCTGAGCACACAGAGCGGTAAACATTGGAATTGTACAGTTAAAAGAGTTCTGCATAAACATGCTATGTTCCAGCACCCACTTAAAAAGAAATCAGCCTGAAACCAATAAATTTCTGTTGAGTACTACTCTGTATATATTATTTGCTATAAGGGCTAGAAAGTAAAGAAATATAAGACATGATTTCCAGGCTCAAGAATACTGCAGTTGTTTACGAGGAAGGGCTGTGTTCCTGTTGTAAACATTTCATACAATAATCTTATTCATATCACTATTTTTATAACACAGGGAAAGAAATTGAGAATCAGAGAAGTCAGATAATTGCCCAGGTTCTGTAGGTGGGAAGTGTAAGAGTTGGAATTCAAATTTTTCTCTCTGGGTGAAAAGGCCATGCTCTTTGCTCATGTCAAATCCGCTGGATGGAAAAGATGATCACACATGCAGTAACACTGAACACTTACGTGATGATGACTTCCATTGTGAGTATTGTCTATAGTTACTCTAGAAAAACTCAGAGATTGTTAAAGTAACCTATAAATGCTTCATAGAGGAGTTAAGAATTGAGTTGTATTTTGAATCAGAATAGGATAAAGATATACCCAGAGAAAGTTGAAATAAAAGAGCAGGAGTTAGTGCAAAGGCATGCAAATAGAAATAGTATGTATATTTCAAATGTGGAAGAAAATAAATTTTGTCAGTTTACCGTAGAAAGATTCTTTTAGTAATAGCTTGGAAATAAGACTAGATAAGGCATAATTGTATGAGCTACACTGATTGATCATGTACTAGTTATTGATATTGGTAAGTAATTTAAATATACTAATTCATTTAATCTGAATAACAACCATATCAGAAGTATAGTATAATTAATTTCATTTTATTATGCAGAAATGGATTGTGCAGAGAGAGTAAACAGCTTTTCCCAAGATTTTACAACTAGTAAGTGGAAAATTGAATTCAAATTCAGGTATTCTAGCTCTAGATCCTGTACTCTTAACCACTATACTATCCATTCCTCTGGGAAAATGAGACAATATTGCATGCAACCTTGAAAGTCATGCGTACTAGCTACGTTTGAAATAGTAAAATGAAATAGTGACCTAGGATTGAAACAATATGTGTGCCTGGTGGTATGGCTGGAGTTAGGTAGTGGTTGGTGTGCAGTAGGACTGGAGAGTAGGATTGTAAAATCTGCAATAATTTGTGATTGATTTTAAATATTAAGGTGAGGTAAATGTTAAAAATTTTATGGAGTTTTAGATTCTGGTGATTGGGATAGTGCTAGTATCAATTACAGATAGATAAGACCCTATTTGGCAGGGAAAGTGGCGATTTCAGTTTTTTCATGCTGAACTTGAGCCAACTGTGATACATCAAGATGTTGATACCCAGAAGATGTATCTTAGAATACAGGACAGACAATCTGCTGAGGATCACAGAAATTAAGATATCAATTTAAAAGTAATACAGTGTAGTAAATTTAATAATTATTTGAGTGTAAAATATTGCTGAAGAAGTGCTACCAAAAGTGAGTTTCATGGGCCATTGTGGTCCACGAATTGTTTCTGGTTAGAATTAAGAGTAATTCATGTTTGTTATATGAAAGTATTGATCTGCAATTGTGTTTTTTTTCAAAAAAAAAATGATTCTTCAGGATAAATATTTCAAGAAGCATTGTTCTAAATGGTTACATTCCTTTGCTGTAATGACCAGACAGTATCAAGGTCTCCCAAACAAATTGAGGCATTTTCCAGCATTTCAGGA
Organism: Homo sapiens; assembly: GCF_000001405.40. Classification (NCBI taxonomy): domain Eukaryota; kingdom Metazoa; phylum Chordata; class Mammalia; order Primates; family Hominidae; genus Homo; species Homo sapiens. The sequence continues at coordinate 90,173,471 of NC_000004.12, forward strand.
TTAAGCTCAATTGAATTGACTTTATTCACTTTTGTCTCCTTCAGCACCACCTCCCAGATAAGTAGGAGCCTGGGTCAGTGATCTTGTCCTAGAGTCTCAGACAAGTACTAGGACAGAGCATTACTTTCCTGTAATATGTGATTAAGGTGAGCAATCCAAGAGGCGGAATCCTGTAATGAAATCAAAGTCAGTTCAGACAAACCATCTATCTCACTATCATCAATCCAGAAATGCTAGGCACAAGTTTAAGGGTTAAAAGTGAAGAATAAGAAAACAATCATTTTCTCCTGGCTTGAGAAAACATTTAAGGTCATCTTCATAGGTCACTTAAGAGTGGCTGGCTGTGATCAGTTATGGATTATTTAGGAGCATTGATTGGACTTGTATAATTATAGCCTGGCAGACATCACATCTGATTAACTCAGCCTTACCATGGAGATGACTTAGTTTATATTTTTTAAATTGTACCTGTACCATTTCAGTACTTCCTGAGAATTCTCAGCCTATTTTGTAGGATTTATTTTCTTCTTATCCAAGTCAGAAACAATCTACCTACATGATTAAACTATGTCCCTTGGTCAGTGAAACTGATAGGTTTGTTAAATACATAAAATCACTTTAATTTTGAGTAAGAAGGCAAGAAGAGGTGGGTACAGAGAATGTCTTCTAATAAGGAATTATTATTAGAAGGATTATGATCTGAGATGCCTAAAAAGTCAAAAACTCTGAAGTATAAGGAATATAAATATAACAAGAAAAATCTGTATATACCAGGAGTTTACAACTAGTTTAAAGTGTAAAGCATACAAAAAGTTTATAATTAAAAATATAAGCAAATGCCATTTATTTGATGGAGTAACAGGGATCAGATCTGACCTTCCACTGTAAACAGCAAAACATGAACAAAATATATAAAGCTCTAATTTTTAAGGCACTGGAACACTGGAATCAGCCAACAAAGAACAATGGATCGTAAAAATTGGAGAATAAATGAAGTAAGCCTTATGATTTTCTCAGGTTAGTGCCTTGAGAGTTTCTATGTCTCAATGCACAGATGGAAACTCAGGTGAACCCTGGTGGATTCTCTGTAATGAGGAGACAGAGCTGAGAGTTTGGCAAGACTACAGCAGCAAGAAATTGCAATACAGAGTACCGAGGAAGGAAGAGCTGCACTCGAAGAATGCTGACATGTGCAGAGGATCCCCTTTAGGTATTCTGCTGAATACTAAGTAGCACATGTATGTGAGGAAACTACCTGAGGCCTGAAAAAGAAATTTCTAAAATGAGTAGAGGTGACAAGTGACTCACACAGGGCTAGAAATAGTACCTATTCCCACAAGTGGCAAACCTATTAGAGAAGTTACAATTAAAAAGATTGATTGTATCAAGTGTCGAGAATGTGGAGCAACTGGAATCCTCATACACTGCTGGTGGGAATGTAAAATGGTGCAAGCACTTTGGAATGCAACTTTTCAGGTTCTTAAAAAGCCAGACATGTACCTTCTACCTATGACCTAGCTATTCCAAACACAGGTATTTACCCAAGATAAGTGAAAGCATGTATTTATCCAAAGACTCAGACATTTGTATTCATAGCAGTTTTATTTGTAAGAGCCAGAAACTGGTAACAAACCGAGTGCCCATCAACAGGTGGATGGGTAAATAAACTGTGGTATGTCCACAATGGAATAATACTAAATGATATAAGGAAATGAGCCACTGATACAGGCTACAACATGGGTGAATGTCAAACTAGTTATGCTGAGTGAAAGGGGCTAGATGAAATTACTTCATAATGTATTCAATTTTTATACAATTCTAGAAAATGCAACTAATTTATGATGATAGAAAGCCAATCAGTGGTTCCATGAAGAAGGGGTAAGATGTATGCTGGCCGGAAAAGATGGGAAGGAGAAATTAAATAAAGAATTGAGAAACCTTTAGAGTTGATAGGTATGTTCATTTTCTTGATTGTGGTGATGGTTTCACAGGTGCCTATACAGATTGGCTATCCCTAATCCAATAATCCAGAATAAGAAATACTCCAAAATCCAAAACTTTTTGAGCGCCGATCTGACACACAATAAAAGTTTATTGGCACATTTTGAATTTTGGATTTTTGGATTATACCAGGAAGTAGAATGCAAATATTAAAAAATCTGAAATATTCCAAAATCCAAAATACCTTTTATCCCAAATATTTTGGATAATGCATTCTCAACCTGTATATGTAAAATCTTATCAGTTACCATTTACAATTTTTAAAAGTACAGCTTATTGTAGGTCAGTTATCTGTCAAGAATTTAAAAATGAATATGAGTGAATGATACTTGCGAAGTGAAGGATAGATATAGTAAGTGCAGTAGCTACTCAAAAGAGTGTGAGAGAGAAATAGAGAATTAGGAATCATGTTCAGTTAAGAAAATGTATATAAACAAAATGGGAGATATATTAGAGCTTAACAGTAAACATTTAGACAGGTTGATGTAAGATGAATGGAGGTGGGTATGGTATCAATAGAGTCATCAAGGGGAAAAATTGTAGGATTTTCATAAAATGAAAAAGCTGTGATCTTAAATAGAGTGATCTCAAGTTTTGGAAAGGGGTGGACAAGAGGGCATGATAGTTGGGAACTTTTAAATGACAGGTTAAGACGTCTTGGCAGTATCTGTGGAGTAAGGATGCTTAATGGTCAGAATAGATGAGTGACAAGCTCTGTGTGAAGGAGCTTGATGCCAGAAGAGCAGAGAGCACCAAACAGTCTTCAGAAGCACTCAGGTCAAGTGAATTCAGGAAAAAGAGTTATAAACGTTGAAAACAATTAGTCATCATAGTATCAGACAGGCTAATTTGTAGAAGAGCTTTAGACACAGGATACAGTTTTTGCAACTTCCGCAGAGAAGGCCTGGAGAAGAGGAGGAATGAAAGGACAGACCATGGCTTGTCAATGAGATGTTGTTTTCTGAAATAAACATAGTGAATAGGTCTCTACTGGAAACAGTATTGAACATACCCACTTATTAAGAGGCCTTCTAACAAAGTGCACAGAGAAAAGAATCCCCTGTTGAGGTTGCTGATTTCCTATGAGGGATATTTTTGGAGAGCAAATTTGGTCTGATACTGATACTTTTTTTTTCCCATAAGAGTTGTCTTACTTTTGGACCACCTGTCGATATCCAGAAACTCTGAAGATTCCCAGAACCATTCCAAGTATTATTGATAGTGTGATAGGTCCAAAATTTTGACATTTTAAAACTTCAGAACGAGGAGCATTTTGGAGACCTTAAATTCAGGAGGGACCTTCTAGGAGGCCTGCATTTTTCCTTTTGTGTTTTAGAGGAAACCAGGAAATTCTGAAGAGTATAATAAATCAATATGTAGTTTAGACATCTGTGTTATTCTCTGGGTACAGATTAGTTAGGCTGTTGCAAGTCATATTCCCCTATTTCACATTAGAACAACCTGCTGTTGGTACATGAGTTAGCATTACACTATGAGCAAAACATGAGCAGAGGAATTGCAAAGTTGTATTGGTCCTTGAAGCAATGAATCAGAGCTAAAGTGACAGACTTTACCAGCAGCATATTAAAAAATGCCCTCTTGTAAAATTTACCATGATTATTTTCAGACAAACTGTGCATCCAGGACACATGGATGATGACAAGATCATGAACATTATCTCTGAATATGAAAGGCATGATGTGCGCAACTATCAAAGTGCAGTTCATTTTAGAATAAGTGGTATTTTCATGTAGTTGCAGGGCAAGACAGGAAAAAATAGTTTATAAAGGGAATGAAGTTGTGGATCTCTGACAGCTGATCTTTTCAATCTATGTGAAAATACCAGTTGTAGCAGCAATGGCAACAAAAACTACTGATTTCTCTTTTTATTTGAAAGATTCCTTAGACACTTTAAGCGGTTTTACCATAGGATAAATGGACTATGCTTTCTGCTTCATCTTCAGGTCTCCAATTAGGGGTGGGTTGCCCCTGTTTGAGGAGTCAGTATGTGGGGAATACTATTGATGGCGTACACTTAGAGACTGACCTTCTGAATACCTTGTAGGTCTTATCAAAGTAGTCACTGAAATTCATCCATTTTATAATTTTTCTTATGTTTCTTTTTGCATGAACCTCCTCAAGTCATCACCCACTGCCCCAGAAAAAATCACTCTGATGTTGGAGGCTAAATTCATCATTGCATTTGTAAGCCTAGAATCAAGGGAGTTATTACTGCTTTTCTTCACAAGACTAGCTCTTTCATATGCGTTTTCCGTGTATACAAAATGCCTAAACCATTTAAGCAGTATCTCATAGCAAGTGACAAAATATGTTCTGTTTGAAGCACGATGCACAGCTCTGGTTGTTTTGGGCCTGCTTTATTTACATGTTCAGAGTAAGCCTGGCAAATACAGGTTGAATGTCCCTAATCTGAAATCCAAAGTGCTCCAAAATCCAAAATTTTGAGTGCCCACATGATACTCAGAGAAGTATTTCAGATTTTGGATTTTCAGATGCTCAACCAGAAAGTATATTGGAAATATTCAAAAATCCGAAATCCAAAACATTTCTGGTCTCAAGCATTTTGGATAAGGGATACACAACCTAGGCATTGCATTGATTGCCTAAATGGAAATCTGGAGCTATTAAAATTTTTGGAATGCATTAGTTTACTTTGAAAGTAAAAATTGTTGTAGTGTGCTCAAGCCTAAACTGCAGCAAATTAATATAATCAAATGAATTTAGAGCATAAACAAAGTATTCCTAGGATTTTTCAGAGTTGGAATTTCATGGTTGCTTTTGGCTTTAAAATGAAGCTTATTGAAATTATAGTAAAAATACAGTAACAGGGAAAAATTTAACAGTTTTGGTAAATGGAAACAATTTGTCTCTGATATAATTTTTTTTTCTATTTCTGTTACTCTCTCCCATTTTTAGGGCAGTATTTTAACCACATACTTTTATATTGGCTTTTTTTTGAAAGATCAAATATTTGATGTTAATTTTTGTTTGAAGTTGTGAAGGCTTTGCTGGAAAACTCGAAGTTCCAAATGTGACATTTATTATATTATTATGTGCCCTTACTAGGGAAAATTGAATATAAATAAGTGTTAATGAGCGTGCTGGTTGTCTTATAAGGAATAATTCATTAGAATTCGGTATATGAGAAAAGCAGGTGGGGAGATGATAAACCATACCACATGAATATGCTGGACTTTTGAAATGACAACAATAGTAAGGGAACAATAGTACATTCTTGAAAGATAATTGTAATTCTTTCAAGGCTCATGAACTGATCATTTTGCTCCTAAGGCGAGAAGTTTGTGGTGATTAAATTATGGACATATAAAGCATGTTCATATTTTTCAATAAAATTCTATATGATATGCTCCGCAAATGTGGAATTGTTTTGGTGGATGAATAAATATTAATCTTTGGAAGTGGCTAAATAAACATTGAATGTCCAAGGTGATTTTTTTCACCATTTATCCTAAAGGAGAAACTTACGCATACATATATGCACAAAAACACACACCATACATCCTCAGGGAGATTGTTTTTTGGTTTCTGGAGATCATCAGACTTCTGGTGATGCTGGTGTAGGAAGTGATTCTAGTTAGTTTTATATAGCTGTTGCTTTATATTGTAAATAAAATAGTACTCTGGGACACTGGAGGAACAATTAGATCAAGTAAAATCAGTTTTCTTTGGTCGAAGAAAATAATTGAGTGAAAGCTCTTGATATTGTGTGTTTAAGAAGGAAAATGTAAAGTTAAAGAAGAAGAAAATGGATATAGCCCAGAGATAACCTAAGGATAGGATATGGAATACATAGGTAATATGGCAGGAATGGAGAGTTATCTAACTGCATGTCCTCATGTCTCCAACATGTGCAAGATATTTTCCGAAGTATAATTTTTTTTTAATTTATTTTTTAGAGACAGGGTCTCACTCTCTGTAGCCTAGGCTGGAGTGCAGTGGTATAATCCTAGCTCACCTCAAACTCCTGGGATCCTCCTGCCTCAGTCTCTAGAGTAGCTATAGGATTATAGTTGTGCACCACCATGCCCAGCTAATTTGAAAATAAATTTTGTACAGAGAGGGTCTTGCTGTTTTGCCCAGGCTGGTCTCAAACTTCTGGCCTCAAGAGATCCTCTCAATTTGGCCTCCCAAAGCCTTGGGATTACAGGCGTGAGCCATCACTAAAAATATTTTAACAGTTTCCTCGAGTGGTTCTAGTTGTGGATGTCCAGTAACTTAACTTGTTTTTACACAATCTGATGCTTTTATTAGAAAGTATTTCCTGAATGCTTAACATAATTTCCCTTTACTCAATTAAACTGTACCATTTCTAGCTGGTGTAATTACAAACATACTTAAGAACCTTTCATGGTTTTGTTTCTATGCGGATTTGGAACTTTCATGGTTTTGTGCCTATGGCCTCTTTAAAAAATATAGGACATATCTAAAATGAATAAGCAATAAGTAAGGAAAGTTGAAGCACTCCTAATGTATGATAGGACAGAAAAGACAAAGATTAAAAAATAGACTAAATTTTCTTATGGCTATAAACCTTTTTCCTATAAACGTATTTGATTTTGTAAAACAGGGAAGTTGTTGGAGTTTGATGTATGTATTGCTTATGTAGTTATATATATATATATATATATAAATTATATTTTGCTTTTGTTATGTTTAGTGGAGAAACGATAACTAAAGATAATTTTTAGGCATTTTTTAAGACTTCTAACTGCAGACAGTTTTTTAGAGTTGGAACAAACTTTCTGAAGTATCATAAAGCAACTCTTGAAATTAAGAGTAAAGAGATAATTGATGGCCAGATGCGGTGCCTCACGCCCATAATCCCAGCACTTTGGGATGCCAAGGTGCGTGGAGTGCTAGAGGTCAGGAGTTCGAGACCAGACTGGCCAACATGGTGAAACCGCGTCTCTACTAAAAATACAAAAATTAGCCAGGCCTGGTGGCAGGCACCCATGGTCCCAGCTACTCGGGAGGCTGAGGCAGGAGAATCGCTTGAACCTGGGAAGCAGAGGTTGTAGTGAGCTAAGATTTTACCACTGCACTCCAGCCTGGGTGACAGAGCAAGACTCTGTCTCAAAAAAAAAAAATTTGTTTATCTCCTGTCTAAAACTCTTCCCTCTGTGACTTCATTATTATGGATGAGCCACCTTCTTAAAAATCCTATTTTGAATCACAGAATTAGCATATTCTCTCAGTCATCTACCCTCTCACCATCTTATGAATAAGTATCACTCCTGTTAAGGCTTGAAAAACTGAGACAGGGAATACCTGTATATAGATATTCAGTAAATATTTCATGGCTTCGACAACAAATAACACTTCAAAATGAACATCATAATGTAAAAGGCATGTTGTTGCTAAGACTATAGGTTGAGTACTAGACTATACGAGTTTGAATAATTGCTCTACTGTTTACTAGCTAGATATGCTTATGCAAGTTATTTAGACTCTTTCTGTCTCAATTTCTTTATATATATATATAATGAGCATAACAGTAATCTTTACTTCATGTGTTGTTGTGAAGGTCAAATGAGCTGATACATTCAAAACATTTAGAAAACTTCCTGGTGCAATAGAAAAACTACCTGTTTGGGTACTGTGCCCATTACTTGGGTTACAAAATGATCTGTACACCAAACCAGTGGCACACACAATTTACCCATGGAGCAAACCTGTGCATGTACCCCCTGCAACTAAAATAGAAATTGGAAGAAAAAAAAGGAATTTCCTTGTACAAAGTAAGCATTTGATAATAATCAGCTAGTGGTCATAGTAATTTTAATTCATATAAAATGTCAGTTTTGTTGTCAAGGGAAAAATTTTCACAATATGATATACAAAAGTTAATGCAAAAGTAATGAACTTTTGGTACATGCTACAACATGGATGGACTTGACATGCGAATGGAAGTAAGCCAGACAAAAAGGCATCAGTATTTCTCATCTCCCTTTTTGCTTTTACTTCCCATTTGCAACCCATCTCAAGAGAGGACAATGGAAGGAAAGGGGTAAAAATAATATTTAAGAAAGAAACAGGAGAAAAAGTAAAAGAAAAAGCAAAATAGTGAGACAGAGGAACAGTTGCAGGGGTCGTTAATATGCATTTTCCATGGTTCCAAGAGGCTCCTCAATTTTATTTTCCCTGATTGAAACTTCAAAGAACAACTTTTTGATTAAAAAATTAAATTTCCCAGTAATTGCCAGCCTGAACAAGATGTGAATTGGCAGACCCAGTGGTAGCTTCTAGATTTACTGACAAAAGAAATATTCTGGGCTGGTAGAGCAGACACTCAGCTGGTGAGTCAGCTGACTGAGGTGCCTTTATCTGTCTTTCTCTACTTTGCCCAGTCCTCTGAGAGTGTGAGACAGCCACAGCCCATAAAAGAAGTCATTTGGTAAACATCTAAGGGTTGGATTTAGAAAAAATGGAGGATGGTTTGGGTCATAGGATTTGGGATACAGTAAGAGGTCATAAAGGCAATAACTGGTTAGTTGTACGTAGAGGCTGTGGGCACAGTTAATTTGTGTGGAGGAAAAGAAGAATGATTTGATGCTCAGATGTTTTTGAGAAAAAGGTTTTTATATTAATGTTGGAAAAAACCCTAAAGATAACTTTAATTATGTACTACAAATAAATTGTTTTTAACTTTATATTTTTTCTTAAATTTAGGGTGAAATTGAATTGCTTTTGTCTAATTATTATGAAATATGACTTCTTATACTTTGGAAAATAAGAGTTATGGTTTTGAAACACTAGAATACAGTTGTTTTTGATTTGACTCATTTTATTTGACCTAAAAAATAGAAATTAGGTTATGTATGATTATGATGAATGGAATTTTCTAGGAAGCAAAATTGGTTCAATCAGAGCAATTATTGTTTTTCATTGTTGTTAGCCCAGAAGCAGTAGGACCAGTCTTTGTGTTATTCTTTACCGATGTCTCTCTAGATATTATAGTCAATTTGCTTTATTCAGTGGTGAAGGAAGCATTACAGGATATGTTGTTATATTATCAGAGAGTTACATGTGGATAATGGTAACAGCCACAGTGTCTGAGGCTAATTTTTCAGGAAAAGAATTGACTAATTATTAAAGCTTTTCTTATTTAGGCAATTGCAGATAATTTTGTATCATTGAATAATTTTTAGTAAAAGTAGTTCCCCTCTATTTTGGAAAGGAAAATTTAAGGAAACAATAGAAGCTCAGAGGAAAGATTGACTTTTGAAAAAGTAAATATTACACCTAACACTTTGATGAAATGTACACCTAACTAATACCTTTATCCAGAAGGAAAATTGCATTTGTCTCTGACACTTGAATGGAAGAACAGTTTAAAAAATGGTTTAATAAAGGGTATTACCTTTATTTTTTTACTGATATTTGCTTTAATAAAATTATATTTAATTAAATTATATTAGATTTTAAATTGTTTTTGAAATGAAGGACATCCATTTGTAATTACACACAAAAATATTTTTTATTTTCTCTTTTATCTCAGTTTTATCTCCTCAATTTTCTCAATTGGTATAATGGTATAAGGAGAAACATAAATTATGATTTTTCTGTAATTATTCTGAAATAGAAAACTTCTGAAAAATTGGTAGACCTTGAGGAAATATTTAAATGATGCCATCTAAAGATGATGCTGAGTAAAATATTCATTATTCTTTATAAACAAAATTACAGAGTAGATGAAATTTGTCTTAATTCCCTTGTTAGCTTTCCTCCCATTCATATAATTCCTATCACCCTATGACCTCCAAACACACACACACACAACCCTGTATCCGGTTTTAACCATCTTGCAGGGGTAATAACTAATTCCTTACTACCAGTGAAACCTGATAAAGGTTTAGGTACAAAGTCTATAATGGTTTATTTGCATTTTATAAAAGGAGAAGGGTGGGGAGGTTGGCAGATGAGATTGGAATCATAACAACTTAGTGAAGTTACCTCTGGGTGGAGTCCTTTTGATATTGCTTACTTTCCCTACGAAGGGCTATCAGTGCTGCTCTCCCACAGTGCACACACACATGCATGCACACACACACTCGTGCAAGAATGCATGTGATAGTGGAACAAATAATGAACAATGAACTATGTTATAATAACTCTGAAAAGGTACTCACTCAGCTATAGTCTGACTTGAGCTTTTTCTCTGACTAGATTTTTTACCTCAAAGGCAGTTGTACAGACAACACTAGTAATCATTGTAAATTAAATTCTTTCTATTGTCACAATCTGGCAGTGTTAAGGACAATTTCAGTTCACTGCAGAAAATATATTTGAAGGATATTTTCCCAAATATTTGAGTGAACTTCCTTTTTAGAGTAATTATTTGTTAATTTGAGAAGTTTCATTTAGATTTTATCTATACAATAAGTTGTCAGCTAAAGGTGGACAAATAAATAAATAATACCATAAAATTTTAGATGTATGTTGCTTGTGCCCCCCTCTACAAAGAGAAAACAGTATTATGAGAAATATCATAAAGCATATCAAAATGGAAATATCTCCCCAGTGACTGCTGTGTGCTTGAAGTATCTAGCACTAGTCTAGAAATAGCACCTAGGGGAGGAGATTCTGTTAAATTGTGAATATATGTCTTGAAACCTGTAAGACATTTTGCCATGGCTCGAAAGTGACAAGTTTGTGCCTAGTTTATTATTACATTAGTTGATTGTCATGTTACAGAGTAGACAACACAATACTGAGGTAAAAAGAAATAGACAAGAAGGCTCTCATTTGAAGCAAAACACAGTACTGGCCAATCCCATAGCATCTTGATCTGTCAGCAGCCCCTGTTGGGAGTTGGCAGAAAGATTTGCACCAAAGAGTAAGTTTCTAAGTGACACCAAAATGTTCGGTGGGGATGGCTGAAGATCTGACTGACTTCTTAAAATTTTTCTTTAGAGAGTTGTACCTAGGTGTCCATTAAAAAATATTGCTGGAGCATGGAGGGTAGGGAAGCTGATAGTAGAACCTCAGACAAATGATATTTTGAAGAGACAGTGCAACAGACTGAACATGTAGCAGTATTTTATTGAAAGGTTTTATTAATCGAATAAAAATGAGAGCATGCTACATTTTAAACATACAACTCAAATTAACTGCTAGAAAAGTGAAAACTTGGTGCAATTGTTCTGAACTTAACCAGGTAAAGTGTTTGCTCAGCCTGCAGATGGTGTGAAACACTTGGCATAGTTTCTGGACTCCTGGGGTGAGAAGTGTGAACTCTGAAACAAGGAATGGCAATGTGGTGATGATCTTAGTGGAGACAATGTGAGGGCAGAGAGGGGAGAACAGGAAATGCAACTTTCCATACCTAAAGGAATAGTGTGCTTTACCTGCCAGCCTGAAATGACAGTGACTGCTGCAGTTCTAGATTTTCTACATAGTTGGATACAAAAGAAAGGAACAATTCCTGCCTCTGTGCCAAAACTTCCATATTCCTTAGGGTTTTGACAAGAATTTGGATTACCTTGACCTAGGGAATAGGAGTGAGGATAATCACCATCCGTCTCTAGCCCATGTGAGGACAGTATTCCCATCAGTGTCACTCGCTGTTGTATCTGAGAGTCAGCAGTATTGAGTGAAGGAACGACCTGAAGAGAGCATGAGAAGGTACATTCACACCTTCACAATATGTGCGGATTAGGGATCTACAATCTTTGGTGAGGAGAAACTGCTTTTTATTTCCCTGGACCTTTATTTCAACCTGCATTCATTCAACAGATGCCTTCTGAGGACCTCCTACATATTATTGACTGATTTGTTTCTCTGGCAGCCTACTATTATAGAGATAAAAGTTGTCATCACTCATGGGAGGTAAAAGAATGAACATGGCCTCCTCCCTAGTTGAGTACTTGAAAGGCAGACATGAGAAACATGATTAAATGAATAATTTTTAAATGTTGATTTTCAATATTGATCTTTGAAAAAGAAGTCAAATGTACAATATGGATACGTGATGAACAGAGGAGTAAGTCTGCCTTGTGATTAGGGAAAGCATCTCATTTGAGACCTAAAGAAGGTACCAGTGCTGATAATAAAGTAATAAGGAGGAAGTGCTGACATAAAACATATGCCACTGTTATCTGTATGCCCTTCCATTCTGAAAGACAAGAGGGATGGAGATGAATAATGTCCCCAGTCCTCAAGCAAAATATTAGTCTTGTTTAATGGATTATACTTGAATACAGTATATAAATCTCTCTACTGAAAATGTCTACAATGAAATGATTTTGACAATTGAATATGTAATTAAATTTAAAATATTTATCTGTGCTTTCTACAACAATTTCAAGGAAGTGAGGCATTATTATCAATGGAAGATATTTTGTTTTCACAAAGGATTACTACATCCCTCATTAGAGACCAATCTAACACAGATAACATGGTACTTTTTTGATGGCAGGTGTTCAGTGCGTTCACTGAATTGAATTGCAATTCATATTGTGCCACATTAGGTTCCTCACAATTAAGCATTTTCATGTTGAGTTACAAAATTGCCTACTTTCAGGGAATAATGTATTCAACAGCTCTCAACTATCTTGCATTGTCTAGGAGTGGAACAGAACAATAAATCTTGGATCTTGATCACCAAGAAATAATCTGGTTAGGATGCTGTCTTTGGGCAGTTCTACTTTAGATATGAGGCAGCCAAAGAGTTAAGAGACTTGCTCTAGGTCCCAGGCACATTACATATTTTTATGTGTCCCTTCTCTCATAAAATAAAAGTGCTTACTGCCACCCTCAAGAGATATGTGTCAGGTTCTTATACTCCTGTGGGATAAGGTTAAATCATTTCAATAGGTCTTGCAGGAAATCAGTGGCACAGCTGTTTATAAAACCTAAGATGTTTAACCCTGGGTGACTTTTTGAACCCTGCTCTTAGTATCAAAAGCAAATACTGTGATTCATTTTCATCTACATCAGTGTCTGTCTGAAGCCTTAAAGAGAGAAAAGGTGTCACTGATCATAACATATGAATTAGAAACCATAAATGAGTAAACTGCTTCTCAGTACAGAGAACAAAGTACTTATCATTTACCAATATGATGATATTGTATAACGAAATGTATACTTACAACTATCATTAGGAAATCCCCATTTTAAATATTCCTTGAGGCCTTAATAGAAATGTGATTTCTTAACAGGTACCTCCTTTAGCCTATGAATCTCTAATTTGTCTTTAGGTTAGAATATAGGTAAAAACTGTAAAGTGTACCTTTTTCCTTTTCTATTTTTTTGTTTGTTTTTTGCTCCTCTCTTTCTCTGTGCTTTGTGTCCATAAACTGTCACTTTGCTGCCTGTGATTTCCTGGTTTTTCCCCCCCATGGTGTAGTGTAACCAAGGCCTCTTTTGTGTTGCACCCTAATAAAGTGTACAAGTTGAGCATCTACCCTTTCTTGGTATCTTTTTCTGCATCGTTTTTCCCTTTCATCTTTGCTGTGATAATCTGATAAATTAATATTCTTTACAGTTTTAATGACTGCTAATAGATTAATGCATCTTAATGACTGTTAATGGCTTAATGTGCTGCACCTCCTGGGTAAAATGTTTGCATTTTAAAAGGGCTTTTTAGAATCCTAACCTTATTTAAAGACATGACTCTGTGAGTATCCAAAACCTGTTGACAAATCACTTAGGAGAAATACCATGTTAGATTTTTTTTTCACATTTTAACATCTCTGAGAACAAGAATGCATTCTTAAAATTGGTGTGATTAAAAAACACTGCATCATAGATTGGAGGCATTTTTTATTTCATTCTTAGTGATGCATAAAATAATCATATGTCTTAAAATCAATGACATTGTAGATTTGATAAAATACAGTAGCTATTTTTTTTTTTTTTTTTTGGCCACCGTTGAAATCATACCTTGTGGTAGATGGTAATTACCTCCCTTATCGGATTTCACTCACACACACACACAAACTCAATTCTGTATCCACTAAACACTCATAAACATATCCTGGCACCATCGAACCATGACATTCTCTAATTGGCTGCTGTGGAAGCTACAATTAAAATTTTAGGGTTTTTTTGAGCCACAGCGAAGAATGCTTTCTAAACTTGGCTTAAGACATTTGTAAGAAATCTGCACTGGAAATGACATTCTATTTATAACATCTATTTGCTATTTTAAAAAATGTCATTTATAATACTTTGGTTCCTCTTATTCTGTCTCACTTTGCTTTGAGGGAGAGAATGATAAATATGAGTAAACACCACAGATGAATATAGTGTCTTGAAGGACTGGTGATATTTTTAAAGATGAAAAGGCTTTGTATCTGTAATTACTGATCATGTGATACACAATTTCAAATAAAAGAGTTAATTTCGTCCTTTCTTTTTGGAAGACATTAGAAACAGTTGCAGAAGAAAAAGCAAGCTCATCAACAACAAAAAAACAGTCAGAAAATTGGCTAAAATTCAGCTCTTTGTGCTCTTGAGACTGAAAACCATGGCTGAAAGAAAGCTTTTCAATTTCCTACCACGTATATTCATTGCCTCCTTTTAGATTGGTTTACTTTTTTGAAGCAGTTAAGTAGTAGTATTTCTTGGCAAAAGAAACGTGTTTAAACAATTCTTTAAATTCTGTTACTTATTCTTCCCACTTTCCACTCTTCTCCATTGCTCATCCCATACCACCAACTTCACATTCCTGCTTGGGTTATGAGGTATGGGCACTAATGTATATTCCTCTAGGGTATCTTTTAATTTTATTTTTATTTAAGTTCAACATTGAGATAGTGGAGTTAAAGGATTTTTTAAAAAAATATATAGTAGCAGTCATATCTTCACTGTTTTATTATCAGTATATATTTTTCAGTATTCTTTGTGAATAAGACTTTAATGTAGCTTCTATCATTGTAGTCTTATATTAAGAAGTCTTCCAAGAGTTTAAAAGTAGGGTTGAATTTTGCAGAGCCACTACTTAGAAGATTACCAAATAAATGCTGAAATGTGAAAATATCAAAACCAATTATTTTCTGGACTTCTTAGTATGTATACCAATTACATACTAAGTCTTACATACTAAGTTTTACATACTAAATTTACATACTAAGTTTTAGTACAACTAGAAACTATAGTTTTGTGAAATGTTAATATTACTCCATTAGCTCCTTCTTAATATCTTATCCTGAGAAATGCCATGTGACTTAGCAGGCGCATCTAGAATAATGAATTAAACCATCCAGCTCTGAGTCAGATGCTAATTAGAGAAAGGACTCCTCCCAAAAAATAAATATGAACATTTTCAACCATATTTGCATATTTATCCTGGATTAGTATATTTCATATTAACACTCTTCAAAGAGAAGTGACCTGAGTGAATAAGAATTAGGATAGGAGACTATTACTATGGGAATAGAAAAAAATCTGATGAACCTGATTAAGCATTGGTAACTAATGGCAAGAGAAGTTTGCTACACACAATAAAGAGGACTTGAGGGGTGTAGATATGAAAAAATGTAGTTTCTTTATATTTTTGCCTAGGGCTAGCCCAGGGGCTTTAGAAATGGATGGCTATACTGTGGCTGACAGCAGGGTTGCAAAAATTAAGGTCATTTTTATGTACAGGTCTGTATTTTTTAAACTCTTTGACTGCGTTTTCATGTAAAACTTAAGTCCTTTAGCTGCCATGTTGTCACGAGAAGGAAGGAAGTATGTATTTAGAAGGTACTCATAGAAGCCCGTCAGACCAAGGATCTGTGAAATATGGTTTTGTCAAGAAAGGCACCTCTGAGTCTATTACAAGTACAATACAATGTGGTCTGTAATGAATCCCCAACCCTAGAGAGTTCTAAATATAGAATAGATAGTCAGGTCTTTGGATGGTTTAAGCATTAAACTGCCTAAAGGAAAGGATCTCCTCAGATGACCTCTCAGTGCCCCTTGCAGCTCTGTAATTCCAAGTCTGAGACAGTTGGCTTATGACGTGCACTGAGCATATGGATGTGCGCAAGTATGTTTAGTGTATATATGTATATATAGATGTGTGTATGTATGTATATATATAGATGTGTGTATATATGTATGTATATATACATATATATACCATAGAGACGTTGTGTTTAATATTCGTAATGTTCCTTTTTTCTTATCCTGTTATATCCTGCAGAATTTGTGTTTTTTCTACCTTTCTCTGTGTATTTGCCTTATATACAAAAACATATACCTATTTACTTTTGCAGTTGAATAGCCAACACATGGAGCTCTTAAACGTTTAGTTTCTTCATTAAGCATTCTTACAATTTTATCCCTGATATTTTCTTAACAGAAAAGCTATGTGTGTCTGTTTAACTTTAAATATTGTGGTAAGAGGTGAAAGGCATATTTTCAATATAGTATGAGTTTTGTTGTTTACTAGGAGAAAGAAGTGTAAAGCATATAGTTTAGTTTGGAGACCCAGGATATTTACAGATACCAGTAGAGAAGGAAGATGTGGGATAGAATTAATATCTACTTGCATTTTGTTATTGTTTGTGGAACAATAAAAGGTTTTCTGGCATAGTCATTCTGATAGCGGCATGAGACTGCAGAGGATTAAACATTTATGCATTGTGATTTGGCTCTGAGGCGTGATAACTACAGTTGGTCGAGAAACTGAAGTACAGAAATGCCATGTGACTTAGCAGGCGCATCTAGAATAATGAATTCAACCATCCAGCTCTGGGTCAGATGCTAACTAGAGAAAGGAGTCCTCCCAAAAAATAAATATGAACATTTTCAGGCATATTTGCATTCAAGATGAAAAGTATAATCTGCTCTGTCATGAGTCCTGGGACAGGCATTGTACAGAAAGCTCAAAGAATTGTACATTGTTGTTTTAAGAACCAACACAGTAGTTGTTTCTTGCTGGTAAAATTATCCACAAAAAACTGGTCAAGGTCAGAATAGAGATTTCATCAGGATGCATGTAATTGCTTACAAATCTTTGCTACTTTTTTACTTACACTAAAGGACAAAGCATTTTCATTTTCAGCTCTCAAATATTCCTCCTCACATTTTAACACCACCGGGGCTTTCATGGATTTGTGAATATTTGTATGTATGTGAGCTTGATAACAAACATAAATTTACAAACTTTAAAAGACAGGCTATTCTTGGCCACTTGTTCCCAGACAATAGTGATAGGATTCCACTTGCCCTAAGGCCAGTTCTGGCCTGCATTTGTTGCCTTTGCCAAATTGCCATCTGGTTACTTTGTCATCCCTAGTCAGCTCTTTTATGTGATTAGGAAGGAACACTTCTTTGGGCAAGATGCTAGGTGCAGCTGTTAATTGGCACCAAGGTTTTCTTCCTAGTACTTGGAACAAAATGGTTATTATCATCAGCAGCAACTTGAAAATAGAAAATTTGAAACTCTGCTCATATGACATAAAAATATTACCAGAAATATAAACTTTATATGTAATAGCTAACACAAATTGGAAAAGAGCTTCAAAGTTTATGCTATGTTCTTTAAAAAGTCAAAACAATCTAATGACAATTTACTATCATATCTAAAAATATTTAAGGAACTTTACCTTGCCTTATAACTTCTTGTTTCTCTTTGGACTAGCTTGATTGAGTGATTATTTCTGTTCATAATGCATTAGGTTCTTGTAGGGTTTATAAAAAAGTGGAAGAAAGGGCTGGGCAAACCTTCCCAACACAGGACTCCCCAGAGAAGAGATTGACAGATGCTGCTTTTAGCAGAAGAATTGATGAGTCTTCTTTCTCCCTGTGTTTCGGGCCATTTCATAACTGCATTGTAACAATCTGAGTATGGGGGCGGGGGGTATAAAACCTGGTGTGAAGCACATGTACTAGTTTATACGGAGAATGAGATAGATGGTCAGAAAGAGGTTTTTTGCCCCCCAGTTCCTAGTGCCAAGCTGGCCTGGCCCTTTGTTGGTCAAGATCATGTAATTTATGCATAAGACAGAAGTCAAGTCCAAATTACCAAGAAGTGGAAAGGCTAGGGAGAGAGACAGCACTATACCAGTAGTGTGGGTGAGATGCAGTAAAGAGGACAAGTGGGTGTACCATGCATGGAAACTAACCTTTAACTCACTTATGCAGGGGTCCCTGCAGCATCTTGAGTTCTGGATACTCAGATATATTAGGAGAAGGAGCTGTGAGGAGATAGTGAGAGGGGCTGATAGTTATGTTTTCCAACAGTCTCCTCTCCTAAGGAGAAGAAATGGTTTCCTATGGAAAGTAGAAGCATAAGACAAGAACAGTTCTTCACAATAATCCTTGCCTTTAAGAAATCTACGTTTTCCTTGATGTGTGCAGACAAATAAAAGTAAAGCAGTAATTAAAAAATACCCAACAGTATGGTATAATGTGTTAATCTGTGACTTTTAGAATGTGGAAGTTTTCTACTATATACTAGAGACATTGCATTGAGTTAGCTTATGTAAAATTGCTGTCACTTTACCCTGTACTTATTAAAAACAACATATAAAAGACTTCATACTAATTACAAAGGCATAAAAATTACAGAATGGAGAGATTGTGTGTATTAGTCCGTTTTCACGCTGCTGATAAAGACATACCTGAGGCTGGGCAATTTTCAAAGGAAAGAGGTTTAATTGGACTTATGGTTCCACGTGGCTGGGGAAGCCTCAGAATCATGGTGGAAGTCAAGGAGGAGCAAGTCACATGTTACGTGGATGGCAGCAGGCAAAGAGAGCTTGTGCAGGAAAACTCCCCCTTACAGTAGCCATCAGATCTTGTGAAACTCACTCACTATCATGAGAACAGCATGGGAAAGACCTGCCCCATGATTCAATCACCTCCCACCTGGTCCCTCCCACAACACGTGGGAATTCAAGATGAGATTTGGGTGGGGACACAGCCAAACCATGTCATTGTGACACAAGAATGAAAGGCACATCTCTGCAATGTATTCAGTAGACATTTAGTTCATTTTTATTATGAGAAGCAATATTTCACTAGTGGTTGAGAATTTCAGCTTTGGAGCCACAAAGTCCTGGATTTGCGACCATTGCCGTGCAGTAGTTGTATGACCTTGTAAAAGACATTTACCCTCATTGAGACTATTTTCTTATATGACAAATAGGGATAATAGTAATTATCATGAAGAAAAATATGTAAAGCACCTAGTGCATCGTTCCTGGCCCATAACCGTTAATAATGAAGATTATTTATATTGCCAGTAGTGTATTGGCTGAAATACAATAGATAAAAGTAAAATTCCTCTTTTGAATGGGAGGTGATTAGCTAGGACTGAAGTTAGTAAAAAAATTTGTGTGTTGTGTTTAGAGGATCAGGTGTGAATATAAGGCAGTAGGAACAATTTAATAAAGTATGCCACCAGTATTTTCCCTTGTGTCACAAAAGTATGTAGACATGCTACATCTCTAAACTAAAAACAGGAACAAAAAACAATTTTTCTTTCCTTTCCAGAGAACAGCTTGTGCCCCACATATAACTGAATCTTAAAATAAATTTTATTAGGATTCCTATTACCACCTCAGCATGCCTGTGACACCCCATTGAGAATCTCAGGAGCAAGTCCTACATATCCGTGGTAGCAACATGTTATTTTCTAATGTTCATGATTAGTTTGTTTTTGAAAGAGTAAAATCTGATATTCTAAAATTGCATGTGTAGTAACCATGAATAAATAATTTTGAACCATTAGACTGATTCTAAGAGTCATGTATAAGAGACCCAGCTTCTTTTAGCCACCCTGGAGGCAGGAACCACTTTGTCTTGTTCACACACAGACCTCAAGTGCATAACAGGTGCCTGGCACATAGTGTTCAATAAATATATAGAGTTGCTAAGAGAATGAAAAATCTATGGTCGTACTTCACATATTATAGTACCCAGAAGATCATTCCCTAGTAGAGTGGCAAGGATATTGAATTTGGAATTGAATAGCTAAGTATGAATACAAAAGAGTTAGGGTATCTTGGAGACAGTTTTCTGTACATTGGGTTGTTTTATAGATTAAGATAATAATAGAAACAACTTGGGAAACTGTACAATTATGATACATATTCTTAAAAGTTATTACTTCACTTGAGCACCATATTACCTAGTTTTTTTTTTTTTACTTCGTTTGTAGTTTTACTCCTTTGGATGCAAACTGAGAAAGCCACTTAACATTATTTTTACATGATAACACTAATATTCCACCTAAGCTAGCGGTCCTTAAAAAGCTTAGAACACTTTTAACTGCAGGAAGACAACTGTGTATTCTTAACATGTACCTCATTTGATAAAAAAGAAAAAACATGTTAAAACATAGATGAAGAAAATATCTATTGATGCTTTTAATAAATCCTGCTAGTCTAGTGCCTAGAACAAGGAAGCTAAAGGTAAAAATATGCACTAGAAATTTTGAAATCGGGGACTTTGATTTCATTCTCTATTTAACATATTTGGTGGGCAAGATGGTCATTTAAATATGCTGTATCAATTGTAGATTTAGTAAACATTTCTTTGTTCATTCAGCTAAAATTCATTGAGTTCTTTTGAAATATGTTGATGTATTAATTTGGCTTGTCTTTGTAGGTCCAGTTGATAGGCAGTCACAATAGAGTGCCTTAGAAAGACAAGAGCTGCCTGATTACTAGTCTAGGGCAGTGATATTATGGTTAGAAGGTTATAGTTTGGCACAAATAGCCTAGATCAGATTTGCAGCCCAGTTACTTGTTAGTAACTTAATTGTGTGCAACTTATTTAACATAAGCCTTGATTTTTTATCTGTAAAGTAGGCATACTATTGTCTATGCCATACAGCTGTTATGAAGATTAAATGAAATTATGATTGAAGGGCATTTGTTATAGTATCTATCATACAAAGCATGCTCAGTAACTGGCAGCTCTTGTTATTTATGAACTCTGAACTTTACTAATGGTAATTATCTATGAAAATATATCAGATAGGTACACTCTGTCTTATATGCCATACTTCAGTGATGATAGGTTTAGACTTCATGGTGTTTTTTATTTTCGCCTGCTTTAAAACATATGATTCTTTAATTATATTAGAACATTTAAAGTCTGAATATTGGAAAATAACTTTGTACTGTGTGTATACAAATTTGGCCATGTAAATATAAAACTTACTGAATTATCAAATATCTGATCTCATTTTTGTGGTATTAATTGATCCAAGTAATTTACCACCTGTCAATCCCTGTGGATAGCTGGAAGGCCCAAGTTGATAGATTGTTTAAAGAAAGCACACTTTGTTTCCCAAAAATTGAAAAAAACATGCTAGCTTTATGAGCTGACTAGCTAAACCAAGAAGAAATTAAAAAGAAAAACACTTAAATAGCATAAGAGGAAGTAATGAGTATACTCTTACTGTAGTCCTTGTAACTCCTCTGAAGAAAATACAAAAATATTTTCTTTGAAGTGTATTAAGTTCTGTGAGTTTCAGAAATATAGAAAATGTTCTCATGTAAGATATAAAAAAGGTTGAAAATGAAGGAATTAGTTTGCATTGCCTGTGTAATCACCTTAAAGTAATAAATTAATGAATTATCTCAAATCAAGAATTTATGGACATTCCTGTCATATTTCAATAAAAGGGAAGCTTAAAAATTAATGTATCCAAAGGAACTGAAAGCTTGTATTCACACAGAAACCTGTACATGGATAGTTATAGCAGCCTTTTTCATAATTGCCAAAACTTGGAAGGAACCAAGATGTTCCTTAGTAGGTGAATGGTTAAATTAAGTGTGACCCATCCAGACAATGGAATGATTCAGTGTTAAAAAACGAATAATCAAGCCATGTAAAGACGTGGTGGGTGGAGTAAACTTAAATGCATATTACTAAGTGAAAAAAGCTAATCTGGAAAGGCTACATACTGTATGATTTCAACTATATGACAGTCCAGAAAAAGGGAAAACTATGGAGACAGTAAAATGATCAGTGGTTTCCAGGGATATCCAGGGAGGAAGGGCTGAATGGGTGAGTACAGAGTATTTTTAGGGCAGTGAAACTACTCTGTATGATACTATAATGGTGGATACATGTCATTATAAATTTGTCCAAACCCATAGGATACGCAAGACCAAGCATGAACTCTAATGAAATTTCAGACTCTGGGTGATAATGATGTGTAAATGTAGGCTGTGCATGTGTAGGAGCAGGGGGTATATGGGAAATCTCTATAACTTCTGTTCAATTTTTTAGTGAACCTAAAACTGCTCTAAAAAATAAAATCTGTTAAAAATTAATTATCATGTCAACAAAGAGATAATTCTCTCTTCCCAGAAACTACGTTTGGCATTTTAGTCTAAGGCAATGAGGATGTGGGCTGGCAGCAATATTTATTTCAACACAGTGGATAGGAGCAAACTGTTGGAAACAATCAAAATGTCCAGCAATATGGGCAGTGTTTCAGTAAGTTATATCCATGTGAAAGTATTCGAAGTAATTTTCTAGAGTTCTGTTTTGTGGCAGATTCCATCAGTTGAATTCCCAATATCTTTTCCTTTGTTCTCGTATGCTAACAAAACCCAGATATTGTTCAGGGTAGCAGTGTCCACTGCTCCAGGCACAAAATGGTAACAATCCTATTTCCACTTTCCTAGCTTTTTTTTTTTTTTTTTGCAACTAGGTGTGGTGGTGTGTTCCAGTTCTGGTCAATGAAATGTAAGGGAAGTCTAATGGATGCTTTTGAGAAAGCTTTTTTCTCTCCTAATAAAGGGGGCAAATGTGAATGCCAGCAATCCTCCACTGCAGACCTTATGTTAAGTGAGAAAAAATTAGCTATTTGTTAAGCAAGAGTTGGTTGGGTTTTCTGTTACTTAGAGTCTGTAACGTACTGTCCAGATCCTTTTCGAGACTTCCAGATAGTGGGATACTGATTGACAGCCTTTATCCTTCACTTATCTCCAGGAGTTGCACTCAGTTGAAGTCAGCTGCCTTGCCCAGTGTCATACCCGCTTCCCAGGGGCCAGCCCACATCAAAATACACAAGAGTATAAGGGCCCAGCCTTGTTTCTTTAATTTGGGCAAACTCTCCCAGGCTCTCTCAGCTCCAGAGCTGGAGTCTTTCTGGATACTGCACCTTTCTGCCTAATCCTTCTTTATTCCCTTTCCCCATAGATACTGATTTCAAGAGCATTTCCTAATAATTTTCCTGCTCAGATACACACACACACACACACACACACACACACACAATCTTAGCTCATTGTCTTATACATTCTATTGCTCAAGCAATAGTATATGAAGCATTAGAGTTTTTGAAATAACTGTAACATTTTACAGAAATGACAGTGAAATATGAGCTAATATAACTATTAGGGATAGGAAAAGCAAGTGTTTTTGCTACTCTCCCGAACAGATGGAAACCAGATGCATCTGTGGGTTTTTTCCATACATCAAGCCATCAGTTTTCCTTTGGACACCAGCTGGGTGTCCTAAAATGCAACTGTGACACTATGTACCTTGAGATAGTGTCAGATCCTACAGGTTAAGGTCTCAGTTCCACTAGACTACCCCTATATCAGATGCCACTTGCCAGCCCCAGGTTGAGATCTGTGCTTCTGACCAGTTGATTATAAATTAGGGTTCCCACGACCCCCTCCTTGGGCTTCATTAATTTGCCAGATCAGCTCACATAACTCAGAACACTATGCTTACTTTTACCCATTTATTATAAAGGATATTATAAAGGATACAGATGACTAGCCAGATTAAAGAGATGGATAGGTTAAGGTATGGTAGAAGGGGTGCCACAGTCCAGGCAGCTCCACAATTTGAGCAACCTGGAAACTCTCAGAAATCCATCTTTTTTGGAACCCTCATATACTGTTGGTGGGAATATAAGTTAGTACAACCACTATGGAGAACAGTTTGGAGGTTCCTCAAAAAATTAAAGACTGGACCTACCATATGATTCAGCAATCTCATTACTGGGTATATACCCCAAAGAAAGGATAGCAGTATATCCAAGAGATAACTGCACTCTCATGTTTGTTGCAGCACTCTTAACAACAGACAAGATTTGGAAACAACCTAACTGTCCATCAACAGATGAATGGATAAAGGAAATGTGGTACATATACACTGTGGAGTACTATTCTGCCATAAAAAGAATGAGATCCTGTCATTTGCAACAACATGGATGGAACCGGAGGTCATTATGTTAGGTGAAATAAGCCAGACACAGAAAGACAAACATCACATGTTCTCACTTATTTGTGGGAACTAAAAATCAAAACAATTGAATACAGGGAGATAGAGAGTAGAAGGATGGGTACCAGAGGCTGGGAAGGGTAGTGGGAGGTGGGTGGAGGTGGGGACAGTTAATGGTTACAAAAAAAAAAATAGAATGACTAAGCCATACTATTGACTATAGGCACAACAGGGTGCTCACAGTCAGTAATTATACATTTGAAAATAACTGTTTAAGAGTAAATTAGATTGTTAGTATCACAAAGAATAAATGCTTGAAGGGATGGATACCCCATTCTTCATGTTGTACTTATTTCACATTGCATACCTGTATCAAAACATCTCATGTACCCCATAAACATATACACCTATTATGTACCAACAAAAATTTAAAAGTTAAAAATTAAAATATAGAAATCTGCCCTTTTAGGTTTATTTGGAGTCTTCATTACCTAGGCATGATTGATTAAATCATTGGCCATTGGTGATCAACTCAACCTTTGTTCCTTCTTCCTTCCCCTGAAGTTGTGTGGGTGGGTGGGAAATGAAAGTTCCTTTCTTTTTCTAATCATATGGCTGGTTCCCCTGGCAAATACTCCCCCATCCTGAGGCTATCCAGGCTATGCTGATTAGTCATCTAATCAGCATGAAAAAGATACCACTGCTTGTAGATCCCAAGGGTTTTAGAAACTATTTGCCAGGAACCAGAGGCAGACACCAAATATACATTTCTTATATCACAATATCACAGTATTTGGTGCTGTGCTAGGTTTGGTGCTATGTAAGAACAGGAATAGAAACAGATTTTTTTTAAACTTTCTGTATCATGGTGAAATACTTTTTGACCCTTGATGTTGCAAATCAAGACTTGAACATGAAATTTTAGGTGAACTTCATCTTGGTGAATTTCAACTCTGGAAGGATTCAGCTTTTGCAGAAAACTTCAATTCACTTTTGTCTATAGTCAGCAATAAAATGGATGCTTCCTGACCTTTAAATTTCAAAAGAACTATTTCAAATCAATTTTGTAAGAGACCTTTCGATGATAATGTGCAAACCCATCCGTCCAAAAAGAGCACCTTCTTTGAAAAAAGTGATGAAGAATCAATAAAAATTGTTTTCAGAAATCTCTATAAAGCTTTGCATGAATAGGATAGTTATGCTAATATAAATGTTTTGAAACTTTTTAGATTATTCAAATCTTTACATTTATTGTGACTGTCTTTGAGCTAAGTATCAGTTTTGGCTACAACTTTAAAACAATTTTTTTTCAACAGACTCATCTTTCACTTATGAAAAAACAAATTGTCAATCTTTTCACTAATCTCCTTACCTGTCTGCTATACATTTTCAAGCGTCTGATACACAGAGACTCGAAGATTATCCCAATCTTTTGTAACAAGAAACCAACCCATTGCTGTACCCAGCTGGTCAGCAGTCTTTAGGTTTGCAAATAGTGATTTTGAAACAGATTTGTAATTTGGAATCTTCTTCTGAGATTTCTATACTTTAAATACTTTTAAAAAGGGTATTGTAACAGAATACTCAATTAAAATATTATAGGCCAAGCCCATAAATATTTTAACATTTTATTAATATTAGAATAGCAGAATTGATCTACAGGCTATAATGGGCCTCTACTTGTTATTTACTTTTTCTCTAAATGAAGAACATGTACAAATTCTGGTAATATTTGCTGAAAATCCTATTTAATCATTTCATTACCCCTTTTGTTTTTCCATCAAATACTATCTAACATCTAATCAAAGTCAATATAATTGCTATTATGGTAATGATTTGTTAACATGAAACAATTTTTCCAACTCTGTAATAAAACAAATTATTGTATAATTAAAAATGTACATAAACCCAACTGTACATAACTTACTCTTCCAGTTCTCTCCTTTGCCTCTCAAGGAAAGTAAAATTGACTGAAGAAAAAAAATATGTATGGAGAGAGACTTTAGCTAATCAGTGCTTAATTAATCTGGTATAATCCTTCTTCAGAACCATGGGATCATCAAGTCCTGGCACTTATAAAATTAGTGGGTTTGGGTTACAATAGATTTTGTGTTTTTTTCACACTCATGTATGGTAATTTTAATAGTTACTATGTTTTGAAGCATGTCGATGTGCCCATCTCCTTACATATAATATTGCTAATGCTCACAAACTTGATATTTGCTTCTCACAGAAAAGCAATCCTAGATTCGCTAAAGAAGTTTGCCCAATATTGCATAGCAATTAAGTGGAAGAGTTAAGGTTCCAATTTATGGTGTTTACTCCAATGCAATATTTTTCCCATTACATTATTAACATTTCCTCGATCCCCTACCCTGGAGGCACCCTCCACTCCCTGACATGCGTGCACGCAGACACACACACACACACACACACACACACACACTTTTTTTTCTGACTGCTGTTAGCCTAATTAGGCTGTTAGCCTAATTAGTAGCACCCAGTTCCCTAAAACCTGAAGTCATGATGGCATATTGTGTTATCTCCTTCCCAGAGTACATGTCTCTGGACCATCCCACACCTGAAATATTTTCTCAAAGTAAGCAGAATCTTCCTGCCTCATATTTAATTCTTTCTGAGACTGCCCTCTAAATTCTACTGAGGATTATGTAATTAATAATGGCTTACTACATTATTTTTCCTAGAGAGCAAAATTAATATTTTAACCCAGAATAATAAATGGGCACACAAATATCTTGATACCTGCAAGAGATATTTTTCCTTATTTAGAGGATTTTTTCAGCTAAAAAAAAATTTCTAAAAAACTTTTTAGAAAATCATACAAAAAAACCCAGCAAAGCCCTCTTTGCTTATGAACAATGGCCATTCTAGAGCTTTCAGCACTTAACTGCTATGAAGTTATGGTAATTCCTTAGGAAACAGATAAGATTACGGCTGTTAGGATTTTCAGTAGCCTAAAAAATAGATGAGTGTATTAATAAACATAATTTGACTTGGCAAGGGTTTTTGTTTAACATATTACCAAGAGACCTTATAAAGATTACCTACTAGTTTACTATATACATAATAATATACATAATGTATATATTATGTGCATAATAGATTGCCTACTAATCTACCTTAGCATCCTTAAAAACAGTCAACTTTTGTTTTTTATAGATTGTCAGTACTTATATAGCTCCTATGTACTATGTATAATGATGCTTTTTATAAATGTAGAGATGAATAGGAAATACTTCCTGTCTTCAAGACTTTCAGTATGTGGGTGAAATCAGCAGCATTTTTTATTTAACATTTATGGTATCATATATGCAGATATCCCAAAGAGACACTCCAGAAAGCTTTCAAAATAGAGTCCATAATGTCTTCCAAACCTTGTCCAGGAATATGAGAAGAAGAGTAGACAAAAATCCCTCAATAAGCCAATTCTTAGAGTGCATGCTTCACATGCAAATAGAATTGCAGAAACAGCTTTGGCTGTTCCTTACCATTCCTAGGGCAAATATACACATTAAACTCTCATTTCAGAACCAGCTTACAATTAAAATAAATAATTCAGTTTTTACTTGGTGCAATAAATCAGCGTATTTATTTTGCATGAATATTACGTAAACTTTTTTGGGTTCTATATATCTTGTAGACACTTGCTCTTAAAGAACATGCTGTAGTGATAGGAAAAGAAGGTAGCAAAGATATTATAAAATTAGCACAAGATGTTATATAATTGAGTAAAATGCATAATGTAGGCCAAGACCATTCTGTAAAAATATGTGAGTCACATGTGTGATTTTGTTATCTCATAGCCATAGTTTTAAAAAGTTGAACAGGTGAAATTAATTTTATTAATAAATGTATTAAATTTAATATATCTAAAATATTATAATTTAACATAATATAAAATTATTGAGACATTTATAATTTTTATACTAAATCTTTGAAATCCTGTGTGTATTTACACTTACGGAACATCTTAATTTGGACAAGATGCATTTAAAAGCACCAATAGCCATGTGTGGCTATAGGCTACTGTATTGAACAGTTCAGGATAAGGTTAGAATTACAGATGTTCAGAGAAAGAGAAGAGGTGTATAGTATATGCAACACTTGTTCTGGGTCATGAAAGTTGTGTAGAATTTGTGTAGATGGAGGGCAGGAGTTTATAATAGTAAGGAGGAATGCCAGATTTGAAACACTGTTTACTGAAGATTATCATAGTAGTTCCAGCTGTTGAACAGGTTACCAGTTTATCATATACTTCAGGTTACTATTAAGGAAAGTTGATACATAATTTAAGGAGTGTATAGTACCCAATTAGTTATTCTTAATATTTTTTCCCAAGGACATTGGACAAAACCATAAGGTTACACAGTATTTCCAAAGAGGTATTAATTAAGTATAATAGTAATCTTTCAAGATATTATGAAAGTCTAATTCTTTGGTTTAAATGTTTCAAAAACTAACTCTTTTTGGTGATTCATAATGAACCCTGACATACTACATTTTCTTGGATTCTTGGATGTACTGTAAGTAAAACTTTTTTTTTTTTTTTGAGACTGAGTGTCGCTCTGTCACCCAAGCTGCTGGAGTGCAGTGGTGCTATCTTGGCTCACTGCAACCTCTGCCTCCCAGGTTCAAGCGATTCTTGTGCCTCAGCCTCCTGAATAGCTGGGATTACAGGCACCCGTCACCATGCCTGGCTAACTTTGGTATTTTTAGTAGAGATAGGGTTTTGCCGTGTTGTCCAGGCTAGTCTCGAACTCCTGACCTCAGGTGATTCACCTGCCTTGGCCTCCCAGAGTGCTGGAATTATAGGCATGAGCCACTGTGACCCGCCGTAAATAAACTGTTTAAATTCTGTTTATTACAATCTTCCCAAACTGGCTGGACTAAGGGTCTCATTTTCACAGCACTGCTGTTAATGTTGATGGATCTGGTATCCTATAGAATATAGGCTTGAGAGCACTGCTCTAATGCATTTTGTATTTTCAGAAGTCTGTGTAAGATATATTTGAAGAGTGTTTTATCACTGCTTCCACAATTTAGGAATGCTTTCTAATTCTGTCTTTCTGATTACATGGCAAGTCCGTCACATTTAGGTGATGAGATTTATTCATTTATTCACTGAAATTACTACCTTTCTTCTCATTTATAGAAATGCATTTTTCGTGAACCACAGCTGCTTATGTGATTTCTAATGGCTCATATAAATTGATAAATAGTAGACACAGTACTTTGTTTGTAACTCATTAAATATTATTTTGTTAAAATGTCCAGGAATATTTGCAATCTGTATTTGATTATCCATGTATTTTTAACTGATTTTCAAAAAATGATAGTAAACTGTAAAATTTTCAGCAGTTTTAAAAAAGTATAATTACTTAACACTCACAAGGTACATGCCTACACCTTGTCTCAAGAAACAACTATGATTTCTGTACATATTCACAATGTAGACACAGATACTATCATGATTTGTCACATGAGTCTACTTTTAAATATTTAATCGTTTATGATAAAGTAGTTGATGATTTTTTCTTTTTTTATTAGACTTTAAGTTCTGGGATACATGTGCAGAACGTGCAGGTTTGTTACATAAGTATACATGTGCCATGGTGGTTTGCTGCACCCATCAACCTGTCATCTATATTAGGTATTTCTCCTAATGCTATCCCTCTCCTAGCTCCCCACCACCAACAGACCCCGGTGTGTGATGTTCCCCTCCCTGTGTCCATGTGTTCTCATTGTTCAATTCCCACTTATGAGTGAGAACATGCAATGTTTAGTTTTCTGTTCCTGTGTTAGTTTGCTGAGAATGACGGTTTCCAGCTTCATCCATGTCCCTGCAAAGGACATGACTTCATCCTTTTTATGGCTGCATAGTATTCCATGGTGTATATGTGCCACATTTTCTTTATCCAGTTTATCATTGATGGGCATTTGAGTTGGTTCCAAGTCTTTGCTATTGTGAATAGTGCTGCAATAAACATACGTGTGCATGTGTATGTATAGTAGAATGATTTATAATCCTTTATATACCAAGTAATGGGATTGCTGGGTCAAATGGTATTTCTGGATCTAGAGCCATGAGGAATCGCCACCCTGTCTTCCACAATGGTTGAACTAACTTACACTCCCACCAACAGTGTAAAAGCGTTCCTATTGCTCCACATCATCTCCAGCATCTGTTGTTTCCTGATTTTTTAATGATCACCATTCTAACTGGCACGAGATGGTATCTCATTGTGGTTTTGATTTGCATTTCTCTAATTACCAGGGATTATGAGCTTTTTTTCCTATGTTTGTTGGCTGTATAAATGTCTATTTTTGAGAAGTGTCTGTTCACATCCTTCACCCACTTTTGGATGGGGTTGTTTGTTTTCTCTTGTAAATTTGTTTAAGTTCCTTATAAATTCTGGATATTGGCCCTTTGTCAGATGGATAGATTGCAAAAATTTTCTCCCATTCTGTAGGTTGCCTTTTCACTCTGACGATAGTTTCTTTTGCTGTGCAGAAGCCCTTTAGTTTAATTAGATCCCATTTGTCAATTTTGGCTTTTGTTGCCATTGCTTTTGGTGTTTCAGTCATGAAGTCTTTGCCCATGCCTGTGTCCTGAATGGTATTGCCTAGGTTATCTTCTAGAGTTTTTATGATTTTTAGGTCTTACATTTAAGTCTTTAATCCATCTTGAGTTAATTTTTGTATAAGGGGTAAGGAAGGGGTCCAGTTTCAATTTTCTGCATATGGCTAGCCAGTTTTCCCAACACCATTTATTAAATATGGAATCCTTTCCCTTTTGATTGTTTTTGTGAGGTTTGTCAAAGATCAGATGGCTCTAGATGTGTGGCATTATTTCTGAGACCTCTGTTGTGTTCCATTGGTCTATATATCTGTTTTGGTACCAGTACCATGCTGTGTTGGTTACTGTAGCCTTGTAGTATAGTTTGAAGTCAGGTAGTGTGATGTTTCCAGCTTTGTTCTTTTTGCTTAGGATTGTCTTGGCTATGTGGGCTCTTTTTTGGTTCCATGTGAAATTTAAAGTAGTTTTTTCTAATTCTGTGAAGAAAGTCAATGGTAGCTTGATGGGGATAGCATTGAATCTATAAATTACTTTGAGCAGTATGGCCATTTTCATGATATTGATTCTTCCTATCCATGAGCATGGGATGTTTTTCCATTTGTTTGTGTCCTCTCTTATTTCTTTGAGCAGAAGTTTGTAGTTCTTCTTTAAGAGGTCCTTTACATCCCTTGTAAGTTGTATTCCTAGGTATTTAATTCTCTTTGTAGCAATTGGTGAATGGAAGTTCACTCAAGATTTGGCTCTCTGTTTGTCTGTTATTGGTGTATAGGAATGCTTGTGATTTTCACACGTTGATTTTGTATCCTGAGACTGCTGAAGTTGCTTATCAGCTTAAGGAAATTTTGGGCTGAGATGATGGAGTTTTCTAAATATCCAATCATGTCATCTGCAAACAGAGATAATTTGATGTTCTGTCTTCGTTTTTGAATACCCTTTATTTCTTTCTCTTGCCTGATTGCCCTGGCCAGAACTTCCAATACTATGTTGAATAGGAGTGGTGAGAGAGGGCATCCTTGTCTTGTGCCAGTTTTCAAAGGCAATGCCTCCAGCTTTTGCCCATTCAGTATGATATTGGCTGTGGGTTTGTCATAAAGAGCTCTTATTATTTTGAGATAGGTTCCCTCAATACCTAGTTTATTGAGAGTTTTTAGCATGAAGGGGTGTTGAAGCAGAAAGGTATGAAGGCCTTTTCTGCATCTATTGAGATAATCATGTGGTTTTTGTCTTCGGTTCTGTTTATGTAATGGATGACTTTATTGATTTGCATATGTTGAACCAATCTTGCATCCCAGGGATGAAGCCTACTTGATTGTGGTGGATAAGCTTTTTGATGTCCTGCTGGATTCAGTTTGCCAATATTTTATTGAGGATTTTTGCATCGATGTTCATCAGGGATATTGGCCTGAAATTTTCTTTTTTTGTTGTATCTCTGCCTCGTTTTGGTATCAGGATGATACTGGCTTCATAAAACAAGTTAGGGAGGAGTCCCTCTTTTTCTATTGTTTGGAATAGTTTCAAAAGTAATGGTACCAGCTCCTCTTTGTACTTCTGGTAGAATTCGGCTATGAATCCATCTGGTCCTGGGCTTTTTTTGGTTGGTAGGCTATTAATTACTGCCTCAATTTCAGAACTTTTTATTGGTCTATTCAGGGATTTGACTTCTTCCTGGTTTAGTATTGAGAGGGTGTATGTGTTCAGGAATTTATCCATTTTTTCTAGATTTTCTAGTTTATTTGCGTAGGGGTGTTTATAGTATTCTCTGATAGAAGTTTGTATTTTTGTGGGATCAGTGGGGATATCTCCTTTATCATTTTTTATTGTGTCTATTTGATTCTTCTCTCTTTTCTTCTTTATTAGTCTGGCTAGCATTCTATCTATTTTGTAATCTTTTCAAAAAACCAGCTTCTGGATTCATTGATTTTTTGAAGGGTTTTTTTGTGTCTCCATCTCCTTCAGTTCTGCTCTGATCTTAGTTATTTCTTATCTTCTGCTAGCTTTTGAATTTGTTTGCTCTTGCTTCTCTAGTTCTTTTAATAGTGATGTTAGGGTGTCAATTTTAGATCTTTCCCGCTGTCTCCTGTGGGCATTTACTGCTATAAATTTCCCTCTAAACACTGCTTTAGCTGTGTCCTAGAGATTCTGGTACGTTGTGTCTTGGTTCTCATTGGTTTCAAAGAACTTATTTATTTCTACCTTAATTTCATTATTTACCCAGCAGTCTTTCAGGAGCAGGTTGTTCAGTTTCCATGTAGTTGTGTGGCTTTGAGTGATTTTCTTAATGCTGAGTTCTAATTTGATTGCACTGTGGTCTGACAGACTGTTATGATTTCCATTCTTTTGCATTTGCTGAGGAGTGTTTTATTTCCAATTATTTGGTCAATTTTAGAATAAGTGTGATGTGGTGCTGAGAAGAATGTATATTCTGTTGATTTGAGGTGGAGAGTTCTGTAGATGTCTATTAGGTCTGCTTGGTCCAGAGCTGAGTTCAAGTCCTGAATATCCTTGTTAATTTTCTGTCTCATTGATCTGTCTAATATTAAAGTCTCCCACTATTACTTTGTGGGAGTCTGAGTCTCTTTGTAGGTCTCTAAGAACTTGCTTTTTGAATCTGGGTGCTCCTGTTTTGGGTGCATATATATTTAGGATAGTTAGCTTTTCTTGTTGCATTGATCCCTTTACCGTTATTTAATGCCCTTCTTTGTCTCTTTTGATCTTTGTTGGTTCAAAGTGTTTTATCAGAGACGAGGATTGCAACCCCTGTTTTTTTTCTTTTTCTTTTTTCCATTTGCTTGATAATTATTCCTCCATCCCTTTATTTTGAGCCTGTTGTGTGTCTTTGCATGTGAGATGGGTCTCCTGAATACCGCACACCCATGAATCTTGACTCTTTATCCAATTTGCCGGTCTGTGTCTTTTAATTGGGGCATTTAGCCTGTTTACATTTAAGGTTAATATTGTTATGTGTGATCTGATCCTGTCATTATGATGCATTAAGTTGATCTTCAATCTCTGATATCCTTTCTTCTGCTGGATTGATTTGTCTGTTGATACTTGTGAATGCCTCATGAAATTCTCATGCTGTGTTTTTCAGCTCCATCAGGTCATTTATGTTCTTCTCTAAACTGGTTATTCTAGTTAGCAATTCCTCTAACCTTTTTTCAAGGTTCTTAGCTTCCTTGCATTGGGTTAGAACATGCTCCTTTAGCTCGGAGGAGTTTGTTATTACCCACCTTCTGAAGCCTACTTCTGTCAATTCGTCAAGCTCATTCACCACCCAGTTTTGTTCCCTTGCTGCCGAGGGGCTGTGATTCTTTCGAGGAGACAAGGCGTTCTGGTTTTTGGAATTTTCAGCGTTTTTGTGCTGGTTTTTCCTTATCTTTGTGGATGTATCTACCTTTGGTCTTTGATGTTGGTGACCTTCTGCTGGGGTTTTTGTGGGGACGTCCTTTTTGTTGATGTTGATCCTATTTCTTTCTGTTTGTTAGTTTTCCTTCTAACAGTCAGGCCCCTCTGCTGCAGGTCTGCTGGAGTTTGCTTGAGGTCCACTCCAGAACCTGTTTGCCTGCGTATCAACAGTAGAGGCTGCAGAACAGCAAAGATTGCTGCCTATTCCTTCTTCTGGAAGCTTCGTCCTAGAGGGGCACCCGCCAGATGCCAGCCAGAGTGCTCCTGTGTGAGGTGTGTGTCGACCCCTGCTGGGAGGTGTCTCCCAGTCAGGGGGAATGGGGGTTGGGGACTCACTTTAGGAAGCAATCTGTCCCTTAGCAGAGCTTGAGCACTGTGCCGGGAGATCTGCTGCTCTCTTCAGAGGCTGCAGGCAGGAACGTTTAAGTCTGCTGAAGCTGCGCCCGCAGCCACCCCTTCCCCCAGGTGCTCTGTCCCAGGGAAATAGGAGTTTTATCTATAAGTCCCTGACTGGGGCTGCTGCCTTTCTTTCAGAGATGCCCTACACAGAGGGGAGGAATCTAGAGAGGCAGGCAGTCTGGCTACAGTGGTTTTGTGGCGCTGCAGTTGGCTTCACCCAGTTCGGACTTCCCAGCAGCTTTGTTTATGCTGTAAAGGGAAAATCGCCTACTCAAGCCTCAGTAATGGCAGATGCCCCTCCCCCAACCAAGCTCAAGTGTCCCATGTCGACTTCAGACTGCTGTACTGGCAGCAAGAATTTCAAGCCATTGGATCTTAGCTTGCTGGGCTCTGTAGACATGGGATCCACTGAGCTAGACCACTTGGCTCCCTGGCTTCAGCCCCTCTTTCCAGGGGCGTGAACGGTTTTGTCTCGGTGGCATTCCAGGCACCACTGGGGTATGAAAAAAAACTCCTGCAGCTAGCTCAATGTCTGCCCAAACGGCCACCCAGTTTTATGCTTGAAACCCAGGTCCCTGGTGATGTAGGCACCTGAAAGAATCTCCTGGTCTGTGGGTTGCAAAGACTCTGGGAAAAGCATAGTATCTGGGCCAGAATGCACTGTTCCTCACAGTACAGTCCCTCCTGGCTTCCCTTGGCTAGGGGAGGGAGTTCCCCAACCCCTTTTGCTTCCCAGGTGAGGTGATGCCCTATCTTGCTTCAGCTCGCCCTCCGTGGGCTGCACCCAGTTTCTAACCAGTCCCACTGAGATGAGCCAGGTACTTCAGGTGGAAATGCAAAAATCACCTGCCTTCTGCCTTTATCTCCCTGGGAGCTGCAGACCGGAGCCGTTCGTATTTGGCCATCTTGCCAGCCACCGAGTGCCAAACATCTACCTATTTTTTCTTATGTATTGTTTTTGTTAGGCTTTGTACTGACAATAATTAAAATATTTGCCTGAGATAATTTTCAGGTCTCCTATTTTTACCCTTCCAGAAGATGCTCAGAGGCTTACTTGTTTATAAGAAATTGGGCCAGTGACCATTTGGACAGTCTTCTATTCCTTATTGCCTCCCTTCACTGTATAAAGAAGCTGTAAAGGGTGACCCGCTGAAATAGATGGCGGTATGGGTGTGGAAATCAGTAGACACTAAGTGTTCTGGTCATGAGAGCCCAAGTGAGGGGCACCCCTAGTCAAGCCTTGCACAGAGGAGTGGATTTGCCCTTGGAGCATTCTGTGTACTACTATCATTGGTAGGGATCTGGGCAATGAGTAGTGGAACAGATGGTGGAGGGGCAGAATCTGAGGGCAATCAGTTCTAAGGTAAAGGTGAAGGAGTAGCAGCCTGACTACCCTAGGCCAGTGGTGTGGTCCCAGTCTTGCTTGGAGTAGAAGTCTGGCCATGCCCCTTTTGATCTGCGTATGTCTGCACTACCAGAGGGGCCCATGACCTTTGCCTAAAAAATAATACTAGATTTCTCATGATCTAATCAGTGAGACCTTAAGACAGTTCTAATTTTATTTGAGAACAATGGAATGTATAATAACATGTTTTCTGTGTGTGGCATTGCATTTTGAATTTCAGTTTTCCTTTACTTTGGGCCAATTAAATCTTTAGGACTTCCTTTCCAAACTAAATTTCTCTGAGTGACCAAGCTCATTGTGTCTGTTTGTCTAGTGTTTTTTTTTTTTTTTAATTTTTCGGTATAGTACTGTTTTAAAATGTAAATCAGATTAAGAATTAATCTTTATCAATCATTGTTAAAGGACTGTCCTGTTTAATTTTTCTCCTCTGGGATTAAGTGACAGCATCCCCTTATATGTTTTGTTTTGGTTTGGTTTGGTTTGTGCAGTACTTTAATCAGGCAGTTTTGTCTGTTATTAAAATTTCTGAAGCCTTTCTCTCTCGGTATCTTGCTGTTTTTCTATGCCCTAATGTTAGCAAAGTAAACACTTGGACTTCCTGCATAATACTAACTGGAGGAATCTCTTTTTCCCTTCCATGCTCTGTTTGCACTCTTTCAATGGCCCAAGAAACAGCTATGTAGGTAAAAGGTCTTTTGTTAAAAAGAAGGAAATTGAGCAGTCATTTCCCTTTTCCTTCTTTGACCTGTATCAGCAGGCAAGTGGTTGTTGCTATGATCTTTTCAGTTTACACTGTTTAAAAGAATCAATGATTGTTTCCCAGAACTTTGAAAAATCTACACAAAAATAATTTAAAATGAACTATACATATATATGTTTTGTCTTAAAGTTGAATTATGAAGTTTAAGCAGTTGTCTTCATTTGAATTGATGATAGCTATTTGTTGTATGAGTTTCAGGTATTCTGCTATCATTTCTTTTCTTTTCTTTTCTTTTCTTTTTTTTTTTTGGACAGGATTTCACTCTGTTGCCCAGGCTGAAGTGAAGTGGTGAAATCACAACTGAGTACAGCCTCAACCTCTGGGGCTCAAGCGATCCTCCTGCCTCAGCCTCTTGAGTAGCTGAGACTACAGGCATGTGCCACCATACCTGGTTAATTTTTTAAATTATTTGTAGAGACAGAGTCTCCCTATACTTCCCAGGCTGCTCTAGAACTCCTGAGCTCAAGCAATCCTCTGGCCTCAGCCTCCCAAAGTGCTGGGATTATGGGCATGAACTACCGTGCCTGGCCTGGCGTCTGCTATCATTTCTAATAAAATAAAAGACACAGATGGCAAAACTCTAAATGATTGTATGACTTTGTTAGGCAGTGGTTTTGAAAAGCAGAATACTTAAAATCCTATGTAAAACATTTTGTTTTTTTTTAATTAAAATAATTCCATTTTCACAATTATGCTTTATGATTTAATTAGCTTTATGAGAATTCTGTTGTCTTATGGGAGAGATGTGATTTTTGTTTATTTCAGTTGTCTTGAGTGTATTCTCAGACTTTCAACAGTTTATATTTCCCTTAGTCTACTAGCTGTTAAAAACAGTCCAGTTTCATAGGCATTTTTGTTTTACATAGTAATATCAGACAATGATAGGGAACTTAGTAACTTTTCTTTCAATTTTGGGGAAAAAGATAAAGTCCTTGAAAAATTCTTTTTAAACTGTTCCTTGGAAGAATAAAAGCATTTGAAATCCCCATGTGCAACAAGATCAGCAGATCTTCAATTCTCAACTTTAAGAACTGCAAGCCCAGAAATTTGTGGGTTTCTTAAACCCCTATTTTTAGCTATTTGTAAAAGTCATATCTCTACCTTCATTGTCTCTTGCTTCAGAGAAGACATGGTTAGTCCTGTAATAGTCCAGCATTAGTGCTTTCAAGGGAAGGAGAATGATTGCATAACTGGTTACATTTAAAATGAGTAAGAATGAAGATTCTTGAGTGTTGCTCACAGGTATATAGGAAAAGGAGCTACTGTTATGACTGTGGAATCTCCATTGCATTTTATTAGATACAAGAAAAGCACGAATGCCAGACCAGACTCAAGAAGAGAACAATTTGACTCTGCTTTCAAATGGAGTGGCAAAATCACATTGAAGGAAAGCTGGTGGGATGTAGTATTCTTATACCCATGGTTGGCAAATACAGTCAGCCACAACAGTTTACCCTAAGAATCTTGGATTTCATTCCATATGTGATTAACAGTTAGTGAATAATATTAGTTGTAATAATGTAATCAGAAACATGTTTTAGGAAGTTTACTGATGAATTCTTGAGAGGAAGAAGATAATCAAGGAAGTCATTGTGTTTTGTTTTTTGCTTTTTTTTCCTCTCAAAGATTCTTGAGCACATCTGTAGGCAGAATAGACAGAAGTAGAAAAGAAGAAAATAACAAATAATCTTAAAGTTGGACGGAAACACAGAATACTTCTTTAACAGGACAAACGATCTTAGCAGAATGTCAAGTTCAAGTGCAGACAACAACCGCTGTCAGCCCTTTAGTTATTTGAATACAGCTCTCATCATATACCTGCTTTCATTAGGTAGAAAAATTTCAAGATGTATCATAAAATTGGATACTTTCTTCGGGAGATTCTTTGTCTTGTCTATATCACTTTCATCAAAGCATCTTATAGTCCAGAGATTTTTAAATTGCCACAATAAGATTCCCAAATATTCCCACATATTCACTGTAAAGAGCTCAAGTTTTGAGGAGTTCGGAAAAGCAGCTGTATTTGTTTGGGTTGTCATGTATGTATATATATCTCCACCCAATATACAAATTGGTTTTGTTTCTTTAAATGTATGATGGAAACTAATGCATTTGAGTATCTAATAATCACAATATTTTCATCTTGAAATATATATTACTCTGAATATTAAAAAGTTGAAAATTCCATCTTAAGGGACTTTACTTTCTCTGTTTTTATTCACATCAAGTTTGCTTTCTTTATGTTGTATCACTTAAAATGGTGACCCATCTCTTATAGTTAAATACATTTGAAGGATTGACTTTCTTCAGTTTTTAAGGAATACAAGAACAAAGTAGAGAATAAATTTAACCCTGAATAAACTATATTACATATTTAATCAAGTTAGAAAGTTGTTTACTAGAACTAGTTTATATCTGACGTACTGGAAATAAGTGGTATTTGGAGAGTTTGAAACTCCAAAAGAGTATAGATATATTGTATGTCTGATAATGCTAAGGAGAAAATTAAAGTAAGATGAGGAGAAATAGGAGTGCAATGGTAGTTGCATTTTATGTAAGATGTTCACAAAAGGTCTTTCTGCAAAGATAGCATTTGAGCAGAGATCTTTGGGTGGCTAATTTGTGGGAAGAATATTTTAGGCAAAGAGAACATCAAGTGTAAAGACCTCTTAGCAGGAGAGGACTGGGCCTGTTGATGAATGAGCCAGGAGAACAGTGTTGTAGCAGAGTGGTTAAGAGGGAGAGTAATGGCAGATGAGGCCTAACATGTGTATGGGGGAAGTTAGATCATGAAGGCATTTGTAAGGATTTTGGGTTTTATCTGTGTGACATAGTAAAGGTTATGCGTGCTTTATAAGGAAGAGCAACATGATCTGACTTCTGATTTGACAGGTGCACTCTGGCATCAGTGTTGAAAATACCCTGATAGCAGGGTAATCAGGAGAAAGCAATGGTAGCTGACAGGGTGGTAGCAGTGGAGAGAGAGTCATAAGGAATTGCTAGAGGATTAATATGAAGTGTGTGAGAAAGGGACATAGGATGCCTGGTTTTTAGATTGGACTGTAAATATGGAATTGCCATTTTCTGAGATGGGGAAGGAGATTGTGAGATGAGCAAGTATTTGGAGGAAAACCAGGTATTTCCTTTGGGATGTGGTAAGGTTGAGATGTCTATTGGACATCTAAGTGAAAATGTTGAGTAGGCCATAGAATATGTGATTCTGGATTTCACAGGCTAGATCTGGGCTGGGGATAGAGATTTGGAAGTCCACGGTATATAGCTGGGCATTTACCACGTGGAACTAGGTGAGATCACCTGGCAGAGGGGTGTACATAATAAAGAGGAGAGGTCCACGAACTGAACTCTGAGGAGTGTGCACTTGTGGAGATTGTGGAAACTATGAAGAAGAACCAGCAAATGCTTGGTGAGGGACAAGCCAAGAAGTGAGGAGGAAAACCAGGAGAGTTTGTTGTACTCGACGCCAAGTAAGGAAAGTACATCAAGAAGGGATTAGTCAACACTGACAGATGCTAGTTCTTAAATAAGGTGAGGACTGAATTTAGCAGTGGTCTTAGCAATATGAAGATCATTCATTACTTGGACAAAAGCTGCTTCATTGAAATTGTGGTGACAAAAACTTGACTGGAATATCTTTAAATGAAAATTGGAGAAAACAGAAGTAGAGACAGAAAGGATGAGAGATGCTTTTGAATGATTTAGCCATAAAAGAGAGAATAGAATAAGTCAATAGCTGGAGGGAGGAGAGGGATTAAGGAATTTTTGTTTGTTTTTAAGGTTAATACATTATGTTTATAAGGAATAATCTGAATAAATTTGTAGGCAATAATCTAAAGAAGATAAAATTAACCATGTAATGGAGAAGGAATGCAATTTCTGGAATGAGGCGATTAATTTGCTGAGAGGGGATGGAACGCAGTGCAAATATGGGAGAGCTGGCCTTGGATAGACACAGGAGGTGTTTATCTTTAGCAGTGGTAAGAAAGGGAGATTACATGGACAGAGTTGCAAGTGGATTGGGAATGTGGAACTAGGAGTCTATAGAAGTTCTTTTCAAAATGCTTCTATGTTTTCAGTAATAGACCAATGTGAGAGTGAGGATAATAGGAGAAGGTGTTGGAGGTTTGAGAGGAGAGTAAAGAATATGAATATATCACCTAGGCGAGTTAGGGATGCACTAATAGGATTGCTGGAGAGCACCCAGGGAAACGCTGGAGATTAAAGCTTATGATTCTAAAATGTGATCACTCAGCATAATCAGTAAATATTGTTCACAAAAATGAATTAACTGTGAATTTCTCAGTTATTTTGACATCATGTAGCCATGCAGTTGCTAGGTCATTACAAGGCAATAAAAAGTAGATGTATTTCCTAAAGAAATACTGTAAGATCTGGCCAAGTCAGTGGATTTGCTACATAACAAAGGCACAATCAGAGTTTCTGCTAATTCAGTCCTAGATGAGAGTAAATTGTGAAATTAGAACAATCATATAGGCTTTTGAGATAACAGACTTTAAAAAAACATTTTTCTACTTTTATAAATGAAGAAGCTGAGGTCCAGAGAGGTTAAAGGATTCCCTTGTTGTGAATCACATTACCTTTTACAAAGAATTTTGAATATTCTAGTAAATATGCTCTTCCAGGAATGTTACATTTTATTCTAATTTTATTCCTTTTAATATAGCATTCCTGTTAGGTTTTTCAATTTGTGTTTGATTGTACAGTTATGTAAATTCTTTTTGACAGATTTGTTATTAAGGGAAGAAAGATGAGTATGAATTCTAACAGCTCATTAATTTTAAAGAAATGTGTCATGAATTAATGCTTTGAGTGCTATATTTTTCTCTTTACATTATGTTTTTCTGGTTGAATAGAATTCTATCAAAATAAATAGGTTATTTAAAAATGATTAGGTAGGAGCTATATAAAGATTCTCCTAAGCATGTTCACCGTTCCTGAGAAATAGGTTGAATGTAATACCCAACTAGTGAAGCATTATCATCAGCAATACATGATTACATTGTAGCCTTTCTTTACAAAGCTAGTTATAAAAAATATTTTCTTTGTAAAAGGTTTTCAAAGTGTCTTTCACTTGAGTGAGCATTTAGTGAATTAAAGTCCTTTCACCAAAGTATATATTTCTTAAGCATATTGACTACAAAAAGGATGTCCTTGACCTACTTGTTTACAGGAAGTGAAATCAGTTACTTTCGACCTTTAGTATAGTAGCAAGTTTAATGAGGGGTGAGTAAGCTTTCACTGTATAGATTTCAACATCACCTGACTTTCTTGAAGTTCAGGAAAAACACCATTTATCTCAGTTTAAAAATATGCACACCTGGTTAAAAAAAATAAAAGCAAGTTCACACTCCTCTGTGCTCTATTTGACAGATAAAATATACACAGGGCACTAGTGATCAAATGTGGGTCAAAGTATCTGCTTTAATAATGGGCAAGATAGTTCCCAATAATTTCAAAATATAGAACTTTCTGGCAAAGGTGCAATGGAAAATGTATCTTAGACCTGAGGCTAAATTGAAAACCTGCCTCAGATCTAATCTTTGGAACCCCAGATCTAATCTTTGGAACCCACTCACTGTCCAACAGGCTTTACTACCTGAGAACATGAAGCAGGAGAGAAGGGCAGGGGCGAGGTGGGGGCCTGCACAGGGTCAGGATGTAGGAGGTGCAGAAGACAGAGTTTGTAGTGTGTGTGAATATGTGTGTGTGTTCTGTATGTACGTGGATAATATCTAATGAATTCCGCTCACCAACTGTGAAAAATTCTGATGGATAAAATTTGTCACTCTTTATCCCTGAAGAGATTTGAATAAGTTGGTAGAAAGGAGCAGAAACTTTTTATATAACACAGACCCTTGCTACTCAAATGTGTGGTGGTTCTTGAATCAGCACCGTCTGCATCACCTGGAAGCTTGTTAGAAATGCAGAATTTAAGGCTTAATCCCGGACCTACTGAATCAGAATGCGCTTTTTAACAATACTTCTCTCTACTCCTGGGTGATTGATTCATGCATTGAATTTGAAAAGCGCTTCACTAGTTGCCAGATGTTTTGCTCTAAATTCCTTCTTCTGTGTACTAAGGCATAATATAGGAAAGACTCAAAGGATTTCTCCCTACAGCTGGAGTTCATAAGCTTCCATTATTGAAGTGAGGTGTATAGTGTTTTTGAGATAGTCCAGTGGATGGGAATGTTTTTAAGATCTTTCAACTACAAAACTGTGACAGTCAGAGCAACTTATATTAAAGATGTGCACATTACAGTTCTGTATTAGATATCATTTATAAAAGAGATTTCCATTGACTTTGTTGAAGATCAGATGGCTGTAGGTGTGTGACTTTGTTTCTGGGTTCTCTAGTCTGTTTCATTGATCTATGCATCTTTTTTTGTACCAGTACCATCCTGTTTTGGCTACTGTAGCATTATAGTATAGTTTGAAGTCCATAGTACAGTGTGATGCTTCCAGCTTTGTTCTTTTTGTTTAGGATTTCTTTGGATATTTAGGCTGGTTTTCGGTTCCATATGAATTTTAGAATCATTTTTCTTCTAATTCTGTGATAAATGATGTTGGTCACTTGGCAACCAACAGGAATAGCATTGAATCTGGAGGTTTCCTTTGGCAGTATGACAATTTTAACAATGATTGATTCTTCCGACCCTTGAACATGGGATGTTTTCCATTTGTTTTTGTCATCTGTGATTTCTTTTAGCAGTGTTTTGTAGTTCTCCTTGTAGTGATCTTTTACGTCCTTGGTTAGATTTATTCCTAGGTATTTAATTTTTTTGTGTGTTGCTGTTGTAAATGAGATTACATTCTTGATTTGACTTGGATGTTATTGGTGTATAGCAGTGCTACTAATTTTCGTACATTGATTTTGTATCCTGAAACTTTCCTGAAGTCATTTATCAGCTCCAGGAGCCTTTTGGTGGAGTCTTTAGACGTTTTTTTGTTTTTTATTTTTGAGATGGAGTCTTGCTCCATTTCCCAGGCTGGAGTGCAGTGGTGCGATCTCGGCTCACTGCAGCCTCCACCTCCGGGGTTCAAGTGATTCTCTTGCCTCAGCCTCCTGAGTAGCTGGAATTACAGGTGCCTGCCACCATGCCTGGCTAATTTTTGTATTTTTTTAGTAGAAACAGGGTTTCATCATGTTGGCCAGGCTGGTCTC
Organism: Homo sapiens; assembly: GCF_000001405.40. Taxonomy (NCBI): domain Eukaryota; kingdom Metazoa; phylum Chordata; class Mammalia; order Primates; family Hominidae; genus Homo; species Homo sapiens. Next base: position 90,217,419 of record NC_000004.12, read on the forward strand.
AAAACTCCTGACCTTGTATTCCGCCCGCCTCGGCCTCCCAAAGTACTGGGATTATAGGCATGAGCCACCATGCCCAGCCCTCTTTAGGGCTTTCTAGGTATAGAATTATATTGTCCCAAAAGAGAGATAGGCTGACTTCTTCTTCTCCTATTTGGATGCCTTTTATTTCCTTCTCTTGCCTGATAGCTCTGGCTGGCACTTCCAGTACTATGTTGAATAGGAGTGGTGAGAGTAGGCATTTTTTGTCTTGTTCTGGTTCTCAAGGGGAATGTGTCCAGTTTTTGCCTGTTCACTATGATATTGGCTGTGTGTTTGTTATAAATGGCTCTTAATATTTTGAATTATATTCCTACAATGCCTAATTTCTTTTTCTTTATTATTATTATTGTTTTTTTGAGACAGGATCTCACTCTGTTACCCAGGCTGGAGTGCAGTGGTATGATCATGGCTCAGTGCAGCCTTGACCTCCCAGGCTCAAGAGATCCTGCCACCTCAGCCTTATGAGTAGCTGAGACTACAGACACACACCACCACATCTGGCAAATTTTAAAATTTTTATTGTATGTAGGTGGGGGTCTTACTATGTTGCCCAAGCTGGTCTCAAACTCCTAGGCTTAAGTGACCCTGCTGCCTCAGCCTCCCAAAGTTCTGGGATTACAGGCATGGGTCCCCATACCCATCCCTTAATGTCTAGTTTCTTAAGGGTTTTTATCATGAAAGGAGGTTAGATTTTATTGAAAGCTTTATCCATGTCTACTGAGATGATCATGCGGTTTTTGTTTTTAATTCATTCATATGCTGAATCACATTTATTTATTTGAGTATGTTGAACCAACCTTACATCTCAGGAATGAAGCAGACTTGATCCTGGTGAATTAACTTTTTGGTGTGCTGTTGGATTCAGTTTGCTAGTATTTTGTATAGTATTTAACTATTGAGTACTATGTTCAGCATATGGGTGCTGGGATCATTTGTACCCCAAAACCCAGCATCACACGGTGTTTACTTTTGTAACAAACTTGCACGTGTACCCCTGAATTTAAAATAAAAATTGAAAAAAGAGAGATTTGTGCTGCTAATTTAAAAAAGTTGTAAAACTCAAATAAGAAATAAAACATTAAACTTGCAGTGAGGCAGTCTGGCTTTAATTATTGAGTTATATACAGCTAGCTACATAATAAGGGCAAGTGATAACTTTTCAGGGTCTTAATTTCCTTAGGAGTAGTTTACTCTTCATGGGCTGGAAGTGGGGTTGGAACTATATAAAAATGTAAACATGATACGAAAACCTGAAACTTTAAAATAACTTGAAAAAGATTAGGCCAGGTGTGGTGACTCATGCCTGTAATTCCAGAGCTTTGGAAGGCCAAAGTGGGAGAATAGTTAGGACCAGGAGTTCAAGACCAGCCTGGACAACATAGCAAAACCCTGTCTTTACAAAATAAATAAATAAATATTAATATGTCTATGGAGTAGGATGCCTGTATATGTGTTTGGTGTTAGCAATGAAGGGGGTTATACTATTGAGATTTGATATTGATGATCAAGGCTTTTTACGCCCTGTGAAAGGGTTTGGAATTTGACCTAAGGTTAAGGAGAAATTATTAAAGGATTTATGCAAAGGAGTGAAGTTGGCATTTTAGAAGGCTAATTCTGGCTTCAGGGCAAAGAACAGGAGTTGAAAGATCACAGAGAGAGATGGGTTAGAAATCATTTGAATAATCTACATGAGAATAATGGTAACATGAATTAGAAGTATGGAAATAGGGATGAGGAAAATGAACTTTTTGTGAGAATGTATCTACAGGATGCACTGACGTATTTGTTGGGGATTGATGGGGAGAACAATGTCATTGGTAATTCCTATGTTTTGGGACTTCATTGTGATAGGAAATATAGGAGGAGAAGTAAGTTTGGAAAGAAATGATTAATTCTCTTATCAGGTTATTTTTTAGAATGGACATCCAATTGTAGATGTCTGGTAAACAGGTATGCCTGAAATATTTATCTTGAACGGTGTCAGGGCTTATTTTTCACACTACATAATTTATATATTACTCATTCTCATCATCCCAATTATTATATATATGTTGTCGCCTTCAAATCTACATTATCATTCTGTGTCACTTACCTAAACCCTAGTCCCAAGTATATTTATCTGTCTCACTTGTGAGTTTAATCTTATTTTCAATAAAAATCATGCCTTGCTCTTCATTGTAAATGAAGTGGGGATTTTTCAGATCCCACTACTTGTATTGGGCATATGGACTATTGTTCAGTTTTAGATACTGACAAGCATACTTATTTTGTGAGAAAGATTATGATTGTACTGGTTTTGATATCACTCTTGTACCTGAAATAATACCTTGTAAGTATCCCATGCTTAAATAAAGTTATTGAGTTAAATGCTAGAACTCTGAGTCTTTAGATTGCTTCTATAAATTAGGAATAAGGAAATAGATCTACGGGAAATAGCGTAATAATGATAAGTAAAATATTATTAAGAACTTTTATGTTGCTAATATTTCTCTGTCTTAAAATTACTAAGACCATGTACAGTAGTTTCCCCTTATCTGCAGTTTCGATTTCTATGATTTCAGTTAACCTGTGGTCAATCCTAGTCTGAAAATAGGTATGTATAGTACAATAAGATGCCTTGAGAGAAAATGAGAACACACATCACCTTTATTACAGTATGTTGTTATAAAATATTTTGTTTTTAGTTATTTTTGTTAATCTTTCACTGTGCCTAATTTAGAAATTAAACTTTATCATAGGTGTGTATGTATAAGGAAAAACACAGTATAGATAGGACTTGGTACTATCTGTGGCTTCAGGCATCTGCTGGGGGTCTTGGAAGGTATCCTCTGTAGATAAGGGGCAAATACGGTAATTCAAAACATTTAATTTCATCACATTAGCACTTATCTCAAAACAACAAACTATGCTTCTCTGGGGCTTATTCTTCTATGATTTTTTTTTTAACTTTGTCGCCTATGTGATTTTTTCCCCTGCACATGAATATATATTTCTTTTTGATTTGCTTTTTTTTTTGCTTTCTGTGACTTAAGCTATCACTCTTAGATTTTAATGAACAGGATTTCTGACAACATAACAAAACAGAAATCAGGTTTGATGGGCTTCAGCATACATGAAGTGCATATCCTCTCTGAAAAAAATTCAAGCATGCAACACATCTGGCACGTTTCTGTACTTTGTATCCGTCTCTCCTGGCCAATCTTGTGCATTTGCGACAGCAATGACATTGATGAATCGCTTTAATTTACCAGGCAGTGGACACCTTGCCAAGGCTATCTGTAAGAACCAGCTAGAGCTGGTCCTGATCATTTCAGATATGTGTATTGTTTCAGAAAACTGTAACTGATCAGATGCAATTTAGATGTATCATTGCACCACAATCACACAGAAATACATATTTTAATAACCTCTGGATTTTAATTTTTCTTATTCCCTTCTCCATTTTTGAAATAAAGATAAATAACTATATAAATATATGCTAATTTAGTTATGTGGTAAAATTAATCATGAAATAATTTGGCAATTTTTTGCATTTTGAAGATGATTTAGAAATTGAATTTATATAAATGGGAATTGATTTTTACAAAACAATATTATCTTTATGTCATTTAATAAGCAAGGAATCATTATTTTGACAATAAAAAAGTTGTATCAATTTTTCACTTAAATACTTCTAACCTGAGGTGGGAAACAGGCAATAGAATACGTAAAATCCTAAACTATTATAAGTTTCCGTGGAAATATGCTTAATGGTAGTCTAAGAAAAAATAATCTTGGGAACATTGTGGAGAGAGTAGATAATTACATGTAATATGAAGAGGTTATGTTCTCTTGATGCTTAGAGTATATGACAGTTATATATTTTTGAAAATCATTCAGAGCTAATATTATATTTAGGTAGACTAGATAGCTTGCTATAATTATGTGGTACAATTACAGCATTAAAAAATTCAGCATATTTACAGAGCACCTACCATATGCTAAGACCTGTACCAGGCATTTTCACACATAGGCAGTGCATTAGACAGCATATTGTATTATAACACACAAGCAGGATCTGGTGTCCTCGAAACAAACGTCTTCGCTTGTCATTTTTTGATATTGATACCTGGAATTCTGATCAAACCTCAAAACATAAAACTTTCATCACTATTAAAATACAAATTGTATCTCTATTTCTTAAAAATATATATTTATTCTTTCAGGGAATTATTACTTGAGTCTTTAATAACATCTACCCTTTGGCATGAATGATTACTGTATAATGTCTGCTGTAAGCGAGCTTTGACAGCGGAAGTAGGAATGAGTTTAGATGCCTTGACTATTTGAACTGATCTGGTACAGGACAAAAACTAAGAGCCATATGATAAAGATTGTTTATTTGTTTTGCCTACATTACATATCAAGTGGGACTGATCCTGGCTGCTTTTATTACCACTAATTGAATAAAACATAACTCATATATTAGATAAATGAAATATTTATACCTAAATATCTAAGTTATTCTTTGTTTTTTCTTTGTAATATTCTCAGAATGACTCGCATGTTTTCACTCTGTAACAGTAGTACAAGCACATCAAATTATCAAAGAGTAAATTTTGCAGGCTCAGGTAACAAAGCAAGCTGGTGCATGGAAATGATTTCTGGGGTGGGGATATTCATGAGACATAATCTTGGGGCAACTCTGGTTTAAAGACACAGGGTCCCGTATTTGGAGAGGAGCGTATTTAGAAGGGGTCTTCCTGGGGCCTTCTTTCCTTAAGAAGATGTCTTATTTCTCATTAGCATTTTAAAAAAGAGACCTGGATAAAATAATTATAATTTAAAATATACTTCTATCCATTCCTATCTTTTGTGTTCTTATAATTAATTTTCCTTCCTTCTCTTTCACTTCACTATTCATGCCACCACATTGAAACATTTCCTATTGTTGTTAGTAGGAGTTATGTGCATAGTTCACAAGATGAAATGTTTTAATAGCATTGCTTCTCTTTTAAAGGCAAGTTTGGGCTTGGCTAGATTTAGGAGTTGCTTTGAAAATGTGGCTTAGTGTATTGTTTCTAAATGACAATATGGGAATTAGAACAAGGGAAGGAACAGATCACACAATTTACGCACGTTTATTTTATAGTGGAATTTTTCTGTTATCTAAATTTCAAAGTGCCTTTTTAATCCCTTGGTACTCTCTACCAACATTGGTTTTTTAAATTTTGTTTTTCCTTGTTTTCAATGTATATCTTTCATATTCACATTTGCATGAATACCTTCCATAATTATTTCAAATGGGACCTTAATGAATACAAACTCTTTCTGATTTCTTTTAATTGAAAATTTATTGAGTAAATTATAGATTCATATGCAGTTTTACATGCAGAGTTTCTGTGAACCCTTTGCCAATTTCCCCCAGTGCTAATATCTTGCAAAATTATAGTACAGTATTATACCCTAGGTATTTACTCAATCCACCAAACAGTTAGATTTCATTAGTTTTCCATGTATTTATTTGTATGTATATATGTGTGTGTGTGTTTAGTTCTATACAGTTTTTCACATATATAGGTTCACGCATCCATCACCACAGTCAAGATGCTGAACAGTTCCAGCACCACAAGGGTTCCTCCTATTCCCTTTGTGTAACTACACTCATCTCCCTTCTGTTCCCCCATTCCTAACCCCATGCAATCACTGATATATTCCTCATTTCTAAAATTTTGTAGTTTCAAAATGTTGTATAAATGGAATGATACAGTATGTAACCTTTTTGATTGACTTTGCCTATGTGTTTTAAACAATTGATATGTATTTTTTTCACTATGGATTTTTGTCAAAAGACTGTAAGTATGTGATAAAAGATAATATTGATTTTACTGTTATAGATTCAGGGTAAATTTGTACTTCTTTACATTTTAGCATTTATGGAAATTACTAACCCTTCATTATTTATATTGATGGAGGGACCAGAGACCCAATTGCATGGTACAAAATACTACAGGCTATGAACAAGAAGTATGTGACTGTGGGTCAGAGAAATATTGATTGCATTGATTTTTAACATGGATGATTCATGTGGACATTGATCATTGGAGTGTAATATGGACCAGGTTATCTCAAGGGTGTCCCAAGTGAGAGACAGAGGTAGATTTGGCATCAGAATGTCTAGTAGTTTACCTTATCTTGAGCCTACTTTATGACCTTAATGGACTGTAACTGAAGGGAATGTGTTAAATGTATACACTGTTAATCCAGTGATTTCAGTGAAATAATTTTGGATCTAGAAGAAACAATATAACGTAAAAAAAGTCTGTATTGCATTGAATATGACATGGGTCAAAGAAACTTGCTCATTGTAGGCCCAAATTACAGAATTTATTTTATTGCCTTCTCAGTTTATTTGTCCTATGGGAGAGGAAATAAACAAAAATTAATTAATATTCTTCACAATTAGACCTTTATGACTTCAAGAAGGTAGATAATGTCTTTTTCATCTTTGTATCTCAGTGCCTAGCTAGATAGAACATGCTCAGTAAATATGTGTCGAATAACTGTAGCTTATGAGATTGGGAAGTTGCTAATGTAAGTGCATATTGCCCTAGTACTCTTTTCAGTCAATATTTTCTTCATGTGTTAGTAAGAGATAGGTTGGAATTTTTAGCAGCAGTATCATACAAATCTTTAGAGATTTTATATTTATCTGTGTACAGAACCCAGCTAATCAATTTGAGTTCATTGTTAGAGCCCCAATTCATCAGAAGACGGAGAAAAGGCAGACTCCTGAGGTTGACATATGACAAGGGAATTTCTATAGTTTGCATTTTATTCACTTTTTCCCAATGCCCCTTTCTATTATCATTGCTTTGTGGGGTGTCAGTATCACCTAACAAACATTTGAAGTGATTTTGAAGATATTGTTATAAAACAGCAGTTGTAATGGATTACTCGGGGTGCTGCATTGTACAATGAAAATAGGCTTAAGTAGAAAACTGCTGGCTATCTAGAAGTGTCTTTTGTGGCAGGAAATATTTTAGATAGTTTGTTCATCACCTGTGTTTATCGTTTGCTATCCCAGTCTATTATAACATATTTTTTCTTTCAATTCTCTAATTATTATAAAGAAATGATTACACTGTGGAACACACATAATGATTAACACATGAAACACACACGTATGTTTTACTTCACACTGATTTAAGATACATTCGATGGAAGAAGAGATTTCTGGCTTTTCCACAGTTAATGTGTAATGTTTGGCATGTAATAGACACTCAAAACAGATTTTTTTGAATAAATGAGTGGTAGTATTTGTAATTTAAAACTGATGCAGAGGGATGTGCCAGTTTCAGTACTGTAAGGGCTCCATAAAGGCAGGATCATAATTAGCCTAATTCTTATTAGTATATTTCTTAATGACTCTGAATTTTCCAAGAACATCAGAGACTTCTAGTTCCTGGCTTGTGTACTCTAGCAGCTCTCAGTGGTTTAGTGTGCAGGCCCTTATCCCTCTCATGTATACAACTTCCCAATCATAAGACAGGCCTGTAAGATCCTGCAAAATTTGGTTCTACTCTTTCTGCTTCTACCCTTCCTGAGTTTAAAATGACTTCCTTTTTTTTTTCTTTTTTATTTTTGAGACAGTTTTCACTCCATTGCCCAGGCTGGAGTGCAGTGGCACCATCATGGCTAACTGCAGCCTCAGCCTCCATGGGTTCAAGTTATCCTCCCAACTTGGACTCCTGAGTATTTGGGACCACCGGTGCACACCAGCATACCCGGCTAATTTTTTTTTTTTTTTTTTTTTTTTTGTAGAGACAAGGTTTTTCCATGTTTCCCAGGCTGGTCTCAGACTCCTGGGTTCAAGCCTTCTGCCCACCATGGCCTCCTAAAGTGCTGGGATTACAGGCATGAGCCACCATGCCCAGCCTAAAGTGACTTTCTGTTACCTATTCTAAAGTTAAGAAGAAAACAAAAATGGAAAAACAAGCAACCTAAACTATAACCTCCACTCTTGAGTGGGACAGATTTCTATAGATCTATTATCTCATTTGAGTCTCATGACAACCTGAGAGGTGGGCATTATATTATCTATTTGGCAATTGAGAAAATAGAGGCTTATAGAGGCTATGAAACTAGGCTAATGTCATAAGTGCTGGAACTAGTCTTTGGTCTTATAGCAATAAGATTCTAAAGCTATACAGTTAGGTTATTGCTGGATTTGTCTCTCCTGCTTTTGGTATAGATCCTACTTGCTCTGTCTGGGCCATCTCTACTTTTTGATCTATTGCTGTTTTCCTCATTTTTGTCTCTTTTCATTCCCTGGAGATTGATGCTTTAGATATGCTACTGGTTTGATAACAGCTTTGCTTCAGTAGTGGATTAAAATTGGCCACAGATGCTTTGCTGCTTCTCTCATCAAGAAGTGGGATCTATTTTTCCTCCTCTTGAACCCAGGAGATAAACTTGTGACTTGCTTTGACTAATAGAATGTGGTATAAGTAATACTATATCAGTTATGGGCTTTAAGAGGCCTGGCAGCCATCACTTTCACTCTCTTGGACCCCTAGGCCATCATGCAATGTGGTTGGCTACCCTATTAGAGATGCTGCAAGGAGAATGAGAGAGATGCCTGGTTAGCTAGCAGTTCTTCCACCTAGCTCAGCTGAATCACCAGGTGTGTGAGTGGGGTAATTTTGGATTTCAGCCCCAAATGAGTGTGCAGAAAACTGCTTCTGCATGAATGGCCTATGTGAGATCAGCAGAAAAGCCAGCCAGCTGAGCCTTGCTCAGATTGTAAAATCATAAGCAGATACACAGTCATGTTAAGCCATTAAATTTGGGAGTGTTTTGTTTTGTAGAAATAGATATCTGAAATACCCAGTGACTTACACATTTACTTCATCTCCATATACTGAAGACCGAGTGTTAGTTTCTATCATACCTATGCCCGTCCCAAGATACTGGGCCCTCAGGCAAGGTGAGGTTCTAGTTCCTCTAGGAAAGGCAAAGAAATTTAAGGGATATGGGGTGTTAAAATTAGACAAGTGAAGATGCAGTTGGTATAAGAAAATTCATATCAACTATCAGAAGGCTGCTTTTGCAAGAGGAATATAGTTGGTTTTGAGAATTCAAGGAATGGGAAGATAAAACATGTTGAGAATCCACATATGAATAAATATATTTAACTTCAGTGTGATGAAGCTTTCTTTACAGGTGCTTCACAAAGGGGCTTTGGCTTTCCACCTTGTTGAGATACGTGACTGTTGTGGAGGTGTGCTTCTTGGTCTTCCTTCAAGAAAGAGCTTGTTCTTCAGCTATGAGGAATACAGATAGATGACAGGTCTTGGCTCCCAAACCTTTAGAATCCTCTGCAGGATTCAAGCTAAGGTCATACTTTTCCAGATCATCTCCCAGCCAATGACTGAGCATGATGGGGTACTAGGGACCTGACCATTTCTTCCAATGTAGGATTCACTTGACCAGTTGTCTTTTTGGCAGAGTGCCACATGGGTTAGTCAAGACAGTGTGGAATTTTTATTGCATTCCCTGCATTGTTCTCCATGTCCAATTCTTCTTACCCTCTTTTTTCCCCCCACAAATGTCAGATCTGCCTTGTGGTCTGAAGGCTTTCTCTGCATAACCCTTTTTCATTCCCCTTTACCTTTCCTGGTGTTACTCCCAGCAATCTCGTACTTCTAACTCTGGCTCAGCATCTGCTTCTGAGCAAGGTACAGTTGAGAGAACTAAAATGGCAAATCTATCAGATTAATATGATCTGTAGTTTGTTTGCTTTTAGGTAGAGTTGGATAATCATTTTACAACAATTCTAAGAAAACTTAGTGTGTTTTACTGCATGAGATGCCTTTTGAAGTAGAGAAGACATCTGTCTAAATCACCAACTTTATACTTTGGGAAATCTGTGTTTTTTGCCGAATTGCAAAATTGCATTCGTCTTATAGTCCTTAAAATTTATTTTACTTCCTAATATTTGTAACTACACAGAGTCATTTGAATCTGCTAAACATAGCACAAAAGGTGGATATACATCAGTATTTAGTAAAAGACATCTATTTAAATTAAGCACCTTGCAACATGTATTCAGCTATGAGGAATTTTCCGAGCAAGTAGCATTAACATTGAAAATTATTATAGAGCTTATGGGGGGAGGAGCCAAGATGGCCGAATAGGAACAGCTCTGGTCTACAGCTCCCAGCGTGAGCGACGCAGAAGATGGGTGATTTCTGCATTTTCGTCTGAGGTACTGGGTTCATCTCACTAGGGAGTGCCAGACAGTGGGCGCAAGTCAATGGGTGCGCGCACCATGCACGAGCCGAAGCAGGGCGAGGCATTGCCTCACTCGGGAAGCGCAAAGAGTCAGGGAGTTCCCTTTCCTAGTCAAAGAAAGGGGTGACAGATGGCACCTGGAAAATCGGGTCACTTCCACCCGAATACAGCGCTTTTCCGACGGGCTTAAAAAACGCCGCACCAGGAGATTATATCCCGCACCTGGCTCGGAGGGTCCTACGCCCATGGAGTCTCACTGATTGCTAGCACAGCAGTCTGAGATCAAACTGCAAGGTGGCAGCGAGGCTTGGGGAGGGGCGCCCGCCATTGCCCAGGCTTGCTTAGGTAAACAGAGCAGCCGGGAAGCTCCAACTGGGTGGAGCCCACCACAGCTCAAGGAGGCCTGCCTGCCTCTGGAGGCTCCACCTCTGGGGGCAGGGCACACACAAACAAAAAGACCGCAGTAACCTCTGCAGACTTAAATGTCCCTGTCTGACAGCTTTGAAGAGAGCAGTGTTTCTCCCAGCACGCAGCTGGAGATCTGAGAACGGGCAGACTGCCTCCTCAAGTGGGTCCCTGACCCCTGACCCCCGAGCAGCCTAACTGGGAGGCACCCCCCAGCAGGGGCAGACTGACACCTCACAGGGCTGGGTACTCCAACAGACCTGCAGCTGAGGGTCCTGTCAGATAGAAGGAAAACTAAAACAGAAAGGACATCCACACCAAAAACCCATCTGTATATCACCATCATCAAAGACCAAAAGTAGATAAAACCACCAAGATGGGGAAAAAACAGAGCAGAAAAACTGGAAACTCTAAAACGCAGAGCGCCTCTCCTCCTCCAAAGGAACATAATTCATCACCAGCAACGGAACAAAGCTGGACGGAGAATGACTTTGACGAGCTGAGAGAAGAAGGCTTCAGATGATCAAATTACTCCGAGCTACAGGAGGAAATTCAAACCAAAGGCAAAGAAGTTGAAAACTTTGAGAAAAGTTTAGAAGAATGTATAACTAGAATAACCAATACAGAGAAGTGCTTAAAGGAGCTGATGGAGCTGAAGACCAAGGCTCGAGAACTACGTGAAGAATGCAGAAGCCTCAGGAGCCGATGCGATCAACTGGAAGAAAGGGTATCAGCGATGGAAGATGAAGTGAATGAAATGAAGCAAGAAGGGAACTTTAGAGAAAAAAGAATAAAAAGAAACGAGCAAAGCCTCCAAGAAATATGGGACTACGTGTAAAGACGAAATCTACGTCTGATTGGTGTAACTGAAAGTGATGGGGAGAATGGAACCAAGTTGGAAAACACTCTGCAGGATGTCATCCAGGAGAACTTCCCCAATCTAGCAAGGCAGGCCAACATTCAGATTCAGAAATACAGAGAACGCCACAAAGCTACTCCTCGAGAAGAGCAACTCCAAGACACATAATTGTCAGATTCATTGAAGTTGAAATGAAGGAAAATATGTTAAGGGCAGCCAGAGAGAAAGGTCGGGTTACCCACAAAGGGAAGCCCATCAGACTGACAGCAGATCTCTCAGCAGAAATTCTACAAGCCAGAAGAGAGTGGGGGCCAATATTCAACATTCTTAAAGAAAAGAATTTTCAACCCAGAATTTCATATCCAGCCAAACTAAGCTTTATAAGTGAGGGAGAAATAAAATACTTTACAGACAAGCAAATGCTGAGAGATTTTGTCACCACGAGGCCTGCCCTAAAAGTGCTCCTGAAGGAAGTGCCAAACATGGAAAGGAACAACTGATACCAGCCGCTGCAAAATCATGCCAAAATGTAAAGACCATCGAGACTAGGAAGAAACTGCATGAACTAATGAGCAAAATAACCAGCTAACATCATAATGACAGGATCAAATTCACACATAACAATATTACCTTTAAATGTAACTGGACTAAATGCTCCAATTAAAAGACACAGACTGGCAAATTGGATAAAGAGTCATGACCCATCAGTGTGCTGTATTCAGGAAACCCATCTCACATGCAGAGACACACGTAGGCTCAAAATAAAAGGATAGAGGAAGATCTACGAAGCAAATGGAAAACAAAAAAAGGCAGGGGTTGCAATCCTAGTCTCTGATAAAACAGACTTTAAACCAACAAAGATCAAAAGAGACAAAGAAGGCCATTACATAATGGGAAAGGGATCAATTCAACAAGAAGAGCTAACTATCCTAAATATATATGCACCCAAAATAGGAGCACCCAGATTCATAAGGCAAGTCCTGAGCGACCTACAAAGAGACTTAGACTCCCACACAATAATAATGGGAGACTTTAACACCCCACTGTCAACATTAGACAGATCAACGAGACAGAAAGTTAGCAAGGATATCCAGGAGTTGGACTCAGCTCTGCACCAAGCGGACCTAATAGACATCTACAGAACTCTCCACCCCATATCAACAGAATATACATTTTTTTCAGCACCACACCACACCTATTCCAAAATTGACCACATACTTGGAAGTAAAGCTCTCCTCAGCAAATGTAAAAGAACAGAAATTATAACAAACTGTCTCTCAGACCACAGTGCAATCAAACTAGAACTCAGGATGAAGAAACTCACTCAAAACCGCTCAACTACATGGAAACTGAACAACCTGCTCCTGAATGACTACTGGGTATATAACGAAATGAAGGCAGAAATAAAGATGTTCTTTGAAACCAACGAGAACAAAGACACAACATACCAGAATCTCTGGGATGCATTCAAAGCAGTGTGTAGAGGGAAATTTATAGCACTAAATGCCCACAAGAGGAAGCAGGAAAGATCCAAAATTGACACCCTAACATCACAATTAAAAGAACCAGAAAAGCAAGAGCAAACACATTCAAAAGCTAGCAGAAGGCAAGAAATAACTAAAATCAGAGCAGAACTGAAGGAAATAGAGACACAAAAAACCCTTCAAAAAATTAATGAATCCAGGAGCTGGTTTTTTGAAAGGATCAACAAAATTGATAGACCGCTAGCAAGACTAATAAAGAAAAAAAGAGAGAAGAATCAAATAGACGCAATAAAAAATGATAAAGGGGATATCACCACCAATCCCACAGAAATACAAACTACCATCAGAGAATACTACAAACACCTCTACGCAAATAAACCAGAAAATCTAGAAGAAATGGATAAATTCCTTGACACATACACTCTCCCAAGACTAAACCAGGAAGAAGTTGAATCTCTGAATAGACCAATAACAGGATCTGAAATTGTGGCAATAAACAATACCTTACCAACCAAAAAGAGTCCAGGAACAGATGGATTCACAGCTGAATTCTACCAGAGGTACAAGGAGGAACTGATACCATTCCTTCTGAAACTATTCCAATCAACAGAAAAAGAGGGAATCCTCCCTAACTCATTTTATGAGGCCAGCATCATCCTGATAGCAAAGCCGGGCAGAGACACAACCAAAAAAGACAATTTTAGACCAATATCCTTGATGAACATTGATGCAAAAATCCTCAATAAAATACTGGCAAACTGAATCCAACAGCACATCAAAAAGCTTATCCACCATGATCAAGTGGGTTCATCCCTGGGATGCAAGGATGGTTCAATATACGCAAATCAATAAATGTAATCCAGCATATAAACAGAACCAAAGACAAAAACCACATGATTATCTCAATAGATGCGGAAAAGGCCTTTGACAAAATTCAACAACCCTTCATGCTAAAAACTCTCAATAAATTAGGTATTGATGGGACGTATCTCAAAATAATAAGAGCTATCTATGACAAACCCACAGCCAATATCATACTGAATGGGCAAAAACTGGAAGCATTCCCTTTGAAAACTGGCACAAGACAGGGATGCCCTCTCTCACGACTCCTATTCAACATAGTGTTGGAAGTTCTGGCCAGGGCAATCAGGCAGGAGAAGGAAATAAAGGGTATTCAATTAGGAAAAGAGGAAGTCAAATTGTCCCTGTTTGCAGATGACATGATTGTATGTCTAGAAAACTCCATTGTCTTAGCCCAAAATCTCCTTAAGCTGCTAAGCAACTTCAGCAAAGTCTCAGGATACAAAATCAATGTACAAAAATCACAAGCATTCTTATACACCAACAACAGACAAACAGAGAGCCAAATCATGAGTGAACTCCCATTCACAATTGCTTCAAAGAGAATAAAATACCTAGGAATCCAACTTACAAGGGATGTGAAGGACCTCTTCAAGGAGAACTACAAACCACTGCTCAAGGAAATAAAAGAGGATACAAACAAATGGAAGAACATTCCATGCTCATGGGTAGGAAGAATCAATATCTTGAAAATGGCCATTCTGCCCAAGGTAATTTATAGATTCAATGCCATCCCCATCAAGCTACCACTGACTTTCTTCACAGAATTGGAAAAAACTACTTTAAAGTTCCTATGAAACCAAAAAAGAGCCCACATCGCCAAGTCAATCCTAATCCAAAAGAACAAAGCTGGAGGCATCACACTACCTGACTTCAAACTATACTACAAGGCTACAGTAACCAAAACAGCATGGTACCGGTACCAAAACAGAGATGTAGATCAATGGAACAGAACAGAGCCCTCAGAAATAATGCCGCATATCTACAACTATCTGATCTTTGACAAACCTGACAAAAACAAGCAATGGGGAAAGGATTCCCTATTTAATAAATGGTGCTAGGAAAACTGGCTAGCCATATGTAGAAAGCTGAAACTGGATCCCTTCCTTACACCTTATACAGAAATCAATTCAAGATGGATTAAAGACTTAAATGTTAGACCTAAAACCATAAAAACCCTAGAAGAAAACCTAGGCAGTACCATTCAGGACATAGGCATGGGCAAGGACTTCATGTCTAAAACACCAAAAGCAATGGCAAGAAAAGCCAAAATTGACAAATGGGATCTAATTAAACTAAAGAGCTTCTGCACAGCAAAAGAAACTACCATCAGAGTGAACAGGCAACCTACAAAATGGGAGAAAATTTTCACAACCTACTCATCTGACAAAGGGCTAATATCCAGAATCTACAATGAACTCAAACAAATTTACAAGAAAAAAACAAACAACCCCATCAAAAAGTGGGTGAAGGACATGAACAGACACTTCTCAAAAGAAGACATTTATGCAGCCAAAAACCACATGAAAAAATGCTCACCATCACTGGCCATCAGAGAAATGCAAATCAAAACCACAATGAGATACCATCTCACACCAGTTAGAATGGCAATCATTAAAAAGTCAGGAAACAACAGGTGCTGGAGAGGATGTGGAGAAATAGGAACACTTTGACACTGTTGGTGGGACTGTAAGCTAGTTCAACCATTGTGGAAGTCAGTGTGGCGATTCCTCAGGGATCTAGAACTAGAAATACCATTTGACCCAGCCATCCCATTACTGGGTATATACCCAAAGGACTATAAATCATGCTGCTATAAAGAGACATGACACGTATGTTTATTGCGGCATTATTCACAATAGCAAAGACTTGGAACCAACCCAAATGTCCAACAATGATAGACTGGATTAAGAAAATGTGGCACATATACACCATGGAATACTATGCAGCCATAAAAAATGATGAGTTCATGTCCTTTGTAGGGACACGGATGAAATTGGAAATCATCATTCTCAGTAAACTATCACAAGAACAAAAAACCCAACACCGCATATTCTCACTCATAGGTGGGAATTGAACAATGAGAACACATGGACACAGGAAGGGGAACATCACACTCTGGGGACTGTTGTGGGGTGGGGAAAGTGGGGAGGGATAGCATGGGGAGATATACCTAACGCTAGATGATGAGTTAGTGGGTGCAGCACACCAGCATGGCACATGTATACATATGTAACTAACCTGCACATTGTGCACATGTACCCTAAAACTTAAAGTATAATAATAATAAATTAAAAAAAAAAAACAAAACAAACTGGCCTTATGAACCTTAGACCAATCTTGAGGGTATAAAAGCCTTCGCAGTGAAGTGGCCATAAAAAAAAAAAAAAGAGAAAATTATTATAGAAAAAGCAGTAGAAATCATGGTGCTGTTTATTATCATTTGAAAAGTATTTTTTTATTTTGTTCTATTAATATGTTTCAATATGAATGATGCACTGAGATCTTGGATAATTAGCACATAACAACATAAATAATAAAAATCATTTATTGGACACAATTAAATTATGCCTTTCTTACATACGTTGTTTCTATTAAAATGTGCTGAAATTTACTTCTTAATCTTGAGATGTAATAAAGTGTTTTAAGGTTACTTTTAAAAATAAACATTTAAAAAATGTTGTGCTTATATGATATCAATGGAAAACAAATACTTTTGAGGTTTGAAATTTTAAATCCGAAAATAATAATATTAGGCAGCCTTTGTATTTCCAGACCTCTTGTATTTATACAGGGGGATCTAGGGCAAAAATAATTGCTGAAATTTAACATTTATCTGGGTGGGCCTCTGCGTACCTCAGCCTCTCTTATTCTTTTTTTTTTTTTTCTTTTGAGATGGTGTCTCGCTCTTGTCACCCAGGCTGGAGTGTGATGGCATGATCTCAGCTCACTGCAAAGTTTTGCTCCCTAGCTCAAGCAATTCTCCTACCTCAGCCTCCCAAATAGCTGGGATTACAGGTGCCCGCCACCACGCCCAGCTAATTTTTGTATTTTTAGTAGAGATGAGGTTTCACTACGTTGGCCAGGCTGGTCTTGGCCTCCTGACCTCAGATGATCCGCCCGCCTTGGCCTCCCAAAGTGCTAGGATTACAGGCTTGAGCGACTGCGCCTGGCCCAACCTTTCTTATTCTTTTGAAAATGCTTCTGGAGTCCATTGATACATTCTGTGAGACCTGGTGGGAAGAAATAGGCCTCAAGGCACACTGAGTTTTTGAGTTGCCCTCTACATTTTTCAAGCTGATCATTATTGAGTCCCTATTATCTGACAGATACTCTGCTAAGTTATTTATTTAAATTATCTCATTAAACATTATCACAATCATATTAGATGGGGACTGTTATTATTTCCATCTTATACACAATAAATTTGAGGCATAGAGAGGTTAAATTTGAGCAGTGTCACTGTAACTCACTTTTAAAAACTGTGTGATAATTAAATGGCAGTCCTTAGTTTTAACCCAGTTATGGCTGGCTGTAAGTTCCATCCCGTCATGACCATTATGTTTCCTCAACTTTTCTATTTTCCTACTTCCTTTGCTCTGCTCTCAGTCACTGGGAGACGAAAGTGCTGCTGGTTAGCACAGAAGAAACTGCTGCTGCTGCGGCTTCTACTGTTGTCTGCCATCTCTGTTACCATCGAGACCGGGGCTGTGTATGCTCGAGGTGCAGGGAGCTAATGTATAAGGAGTTAAATGAACTCTTGCTGCTGCCAAATATGTTGTTATCACTAACTGCACCGCTGCTGTCATTAGTGCTGCTGCCAACACTGCAAGCCCTGCTGCTGCCAGTGCCAATTCTGCTGATGCCTTGGGCTCTCCATGTCCCAGGGTGATTCCATAGACAAGCAGCTGCTTTTAGATTTCACTTGCTCATTACCTGTAGATCCTTTGCCTTAGGACTCAAGCTTAAGCCCATGAAGCCTGGGATAGAAGACAATTGGAGGTATGTTTTATCTTCTCTAGCATCTGGGACAACTGGCCTTGAACCAAACATGTGCACCTCGTTTTTCTTTTCCCTTCTTCCTCTGAGATTTCTTTTCCCATAGGCTCTTATTTCATGCAATGATCCACTAGCCCTGGAAACAGGAACATAAACACTCGAACCCTAGAATGAACATAATTTAGTCTTAACTACATTAGATATTTTAGTTTGAAAGAAATCACTCACATTTCATAATCCTGAAACATATAAATTTATACTTAGTTATCTGTGCAAAAATTGAATCATGATAATTATTAAAGAATTACTATGCAAGTGTAAATAGCTTTGGTATTAACCAAGAGTGGTTTCAGTGTGCTTTTGTAAAAAAAAAAATACTAGAGTTCAAAAATTCAGGTCTATATTTGAAGCTCTGTCAATAATTCATATACCTCATATCAAAAAGCTTACCAAGGGACAAGATGATTTTGTTAGTGGGAGTGGTTTACTTTTTACTTTTGCTTCCAACCCTAACTCAGAAGAAGGGCAATAGTCTATCAAACCTGGAAAATAAGAAAACAGCATTCAAATTTACAAAGCTCTATTTACTAAAAACATGCAAAATAAGTAATTTTTTTTTGAGAGAGTGTCTCATTGTGTCTCCCAGGCTGGAATGCAGTGGCATGATCATGGCTTACTGCAGCCTTGACCTCCCAGGCTCAAGACATCCTCCCACCTTAGTGCCCCCAAGTAGCTGGGACTTCAGATGCATGCCACGATGCTTGGCTAATTTTTAATTTTTTGTAGAGATGTTGCTCACGCTGCTCTTGAACTCTTGAGCTCAAGCAGTCCTCCCGCTGTGGCCTCGCAAAATGTTGGGATGACAGCCGTAAGCCACTGCGCCTGGCTAAAATAAAGAATTTTTAACTGGAGGAAAAGAATCTTATGTTGTTGAATTCTTTATTGTCTTAACTGAAAGCAAAAGCCTGTTTGAACTTTTTTCTTAATCGAGAAAAGCATATGAGGAGAAAAGAGCTCTAAGTTCTATGCCAGATGCTTACAAAACAAATTGTTTACCAGTAGTTTAGTGGGACAGGGGGTGGGGGTAAAAGAAAAAGTTGTATTAAAATCTTGATGAAGATATTCTGCATCAAGGACTATTTTATTTTTCTTAAGGGCGAAACAATCTGTTTTCTTATTTGAGGCCAGTGAAAGTTTATATTTCTATTCCACCTGGGATAATAACAATTGAGAGTTTTGTGTTTTATTTTCCCTAATTGAGAATATGGGGATTGGTAAATAATATGGTAAGTAATTTGCATTTAGAATAAGGTGAGGTTCTTGGTTTTCCAAATTATTGATTTGTGGAGTGAATTTGCATCTAGGACTCTAATTTTTTTTTTCAGTAAATTTCATGAGAAATGTTATTGTTTTTAGGAATGTAATTTTATTAAAAAATTTGCGGGAATTTTGGGATGTATTTATATTTAAAGTTATCATAACATGTTAGATGTTGTCATACTGTGTGTGTATATGTGTATCCTATATGTGTGTATGTGTGTATATTTAGCACGCATTTTTCTTTTTATTTGATTAGGTTTTCTTAATTTTAAAGTTGGAATGAAAGAAAAATGTGTTAGTATATGATTCATAAAAAACAAACCAGTGATGGTACTGTGTTTAAACATCTCAATATGGATATGGGTTTTGTTATATTTTGCGAGCTACATGCCAGAGTATATTGTAAAGAAGTCTATTTATAGGTAAAATAAAGATGAGAAAGCAGTGCAGAGAGAAATCAAATATAATTGTCTTACATTTCTGATTCTCCTTCATTTTTAGTTTTTAATGGGAATTTCTGTCTTTTATCTGCATGAAGATGCTAATGTTCTCTTAATGTACTTAAAATTGTAGAGTAAGAATTTCGAAATTTGTAGGAAGACAAATGGCATTTATAAATATTAGAGTTTATGAGTACTTAATATCCCCTCTGTCATCTGCATTTAATGTTTTCGTTTCCTTTTAACAGTATGTGTAAGAACTTTCTGTGCTGTGCTTAGAGTTTTTTTCCTAGATAAATGTTTTTCTTATGCTGTAAACCTGTTTAAGGAGATGAGATTTGAAAGTAGTTGAATTCAGAGCTCTTACTTGAGCAGAGTGTTTCTCAATAGCTTTTCCAAGAAAATTTTAAAAGATTAAAATCAATTTTAATCTTTGTCGTATAGGCCACAGAAACTTCCATTCATACATCCTTAGAAAATTAAAACAAGGCAAAATAACAATTTGGGAAATAATCAATTAAAACCATAACTATATGGGAAGTCTTTGGAAATGGAAGGCCCACAACCTACCTATATATGAAGCCAGTGTTGTCTGAACTGAATTCTACCGTAGGGTGGACTTTTTCTTAACGTCTGAATTTATGAACCTGTGAAAGAGGAACGTTAAATTGAAAATAACGACAACATCTTAATTATGGTGATTTTACTGAAAGACTACTACCATAATAAGATGTATTCTAGGTTTCCAGAGTAGTGGCAGCTGTCAAACACCAACATTTCTCCCTGAGAATAGGTTTAGTGTAGTGTGTTTTTCAAGGACAAGTTGCTCAGTGAGCCCTGCTAGTTAATATTCAACAGTTTTCTTAATCAAAATTGTGGTCTTGCTCCCTAGAGTGTTTGTGAAAATGATTGTATGTTTATCCGAGCCTTCAACAGCAGAAAGAGAATTCTTGGGCTAGGTGCTGGTAATGAGAACCTATATTAATCCCAGGGTGCTGATAAGAAAAGGAAAATCCTGTCAGAATACATTGTTTGTAAAAAAATGATTACTGTAGCTCAAAAAGTCAAACCTTTTTTTTGAAGCCCTTGTACCTTATATAACTTCAGTTGTTTATCTGGGATAATGGGGAGGTAGGGGTATGGTGATGTCCAGCAATCCACTCCAGGAATGGTATTTTAGTGATCGAGTAGTCTGGGGTTCTGTTAATCATTGCTTCTGTTGCATACCTTATTAAGGGTCCTCACATGATTCCTTTAGATTACAAGAAGGTCTTAATGAAGTAAAGCTTGTGAGGTATTAGAGAGCTCAGTCTGGCATTGTACAAATGGTATTGAAGACTCACATAGGAAAAACAAGCTTGCCAAATAAAATAATGCAACAGCTAACATTTTCTATGAAATATTTTGCTTAGGATGCAGGTTTTGTTAGTGCTTTTGTTTTTAACCCTAAACTGTTTTCTACTGTCAGGTGATACTGCCCTTGAAACAGAGCTGTCCTGGTTGAATGTGACTTTTTTCTGCCGTGGGTACCTATCACTTCCTTCTCACACCCCCTCAACTCGTGCGCACATACACACACATACATCTGAAAGAATCAAGATGAACAGTTTGAACAATATGATCTCTGTAATACTATAAAGAACATTTACTTTTGGATTTTGTTTTGTTTTGTCTGTAATGGAGCTCTATAGGAATTAAATCTTCTGAAAACAGTCTTTTTAAAATATTAGCTTGGTGGATTTCTTCTAGCATTAATTTTTTTTTTTTTGAGACAGAGTCTCACTTTGTTGCCCAGGCTGCAGTGCAATGGCATGATCTCGGCTCATTGCAATCTCCATCTCCCAGGTTCAAGCGATTCTCCTTCCTCAGCCTTCTGAGTAGCTGGGATTACAGGCATCTGCCACCACACCCAGCTAATTTTTGTATTTTTAGTAGAGACGGGGTTTTACCATGTTGGCCAGGCTGGTTCCGAACTCCTGACCGCAGGTGATCCGCCTGCCTGGGCCTCCCAAAGTGTTGGGACAGGTGTGAGCCACCGTGCCCAGCCAGAAAGTTTTAGTCAATAACAAAAACACATTTTTTGAGTAGTTGTTTAACATGATTAAAAGCACACTTGGACTTTAATTAGGAAACAATAAACATACATCCCATAGGAGTTAATCTTTGTAAACAACACCAATTTTGAAGGCTACAGTCAGTTATATTGATCACTTCAGTGATACTGAGACATATACTGCACTTTATGCATTGATCTTTGACATAGAAAGATCAGCACGTTAATGTAAAAAATTGCCACTATGTATTTGAAATTTAAGCCCTACTATTAGCTAATATTCAAAATAACTCATTTACTTGATACTGTAATGTGTAGTCAACTGATTTTTCCTTTTAAATAGATTGATCTGTTATATATATATTAGAGGCAGAGTCTCACTCTGTCACTTAGGCTGGAGAGCAGTGGTACAATTATGGTTCACTGCAGCTTCCAACTCCTGGGCACAAACAGTCCTCCTGCCTTAGCCACCACTATGCTCAGCTAATTATTTTTAATTTTTTTTTGTAAATGTGGGCTCTTGCATTGTTGCTCAGTCTAATCTCGAACGCCTGGTCTCAAGTGACTCCTGCTTCAGCCTCCCAAAGTACTGGGATTATAGGCACGATCCTGCACCTGCCCCAATTCTGTATTTTTATTTGTTCTTAGTTGTAGCTTGTAATTATTTCCAAATGTGAATCATAATCAGATTGATTCAATACCAAGTTTTAGAAGAATTGTGTATCAACTAGTCCACTTTGAAGAGGAAAACCACATAGTAGGTTAAACTAGTGAGTTTAATTTAAAAATATTATTAAAGTATGACAAAAGAGTAACTTCTCTCTAAGATATAGAGAAACCTAAGTGGTACCCTGAAGCTAAAGGAGTGTAACCAAAGAATGACAAACTTGGAAGAGGATCAGATCTTAAAGAGAAGGTGTAATTCATCTCACTGGAGAGCAGAGAAGTTTTCGAGTTTGGCTGAGCATCCAGAGATGGCCCATAGTCATGGGGCAAGCTGGCGGCCAGTAGAATAGTCGGCATGGATAACCAAACCAGTGGCTATGTTTCAGAGGACATGAGCACCCTCCAGGGAAGAGTATGGGGCCTGTAGTGGACTCAGTAGGACTCAGGAGGACTGCCAGAGGGGAGGGGGCTTCAGGTAGATGGCCCATAGCCCTACAGAGGGAATTCTGACTCTGATGGGCATTTCTTTCTGGAGAAGGCCTTGGGAAGATTGTCTCTAGCTTGAGACTGCAAGATTGGCAAGCAACCAC
This sequence comes from Homo sapiens, assembly GCF_000001405.40. Lineage (NCBI taxonomy): Eukaryota > Metazoa > Chordata > Mammalia > Primates > Hominidae > Homo > Homo sapiens. Next base: position 90,240,410 of record NC_000004.12, read on the forward strand.
ACGTTCTTATACCCTGCATGGCTTGGCAGGGCTACACTGAATGTCCTCACACCTCTACCCAAATCACTGACTCCTGTGTCACCAGAAGTCATGGAAGAGCCCCTTCCTCCTGCAGTGTCCCTCCAGCTTCCTCTACTGGGAACACTCAGCATCACACCCATTGTAAAGAAGAAATACTTAAAAGAATTCTATCTATGATCATAGGACATATATTTGTGGAAAAGTGCATTTGGAGCTGGGAGGCAATTAATTCATAACTAGCACACATTGCCTTACATTTAGGTGCTGGTTATAGCTAATATTGTGGCAAAAATGACAACTCTAAATGCCGTAAGAATGTCATGTTGCTTTCAGGTGCCCAATTTTAGCCCCTTGGACTTGTCCATCTGGATTAGTCACATTATCCTAGTTTTCAGTAGCTGATCTTAGGCCTGTGCTTATTTTTCACCATATCCTTCAAAGACACCACCTATAGCTCTCTGCAGTGGGAATGAAAGCCTGTCTACATATACCACTGTAAATATGCTCAAATTCTTTGAGTGTTTGAGCAGCTTTAGTCAAAGGAATTCATGGTGTATCAATAGACTCTATTCTAATTAAAACCATTTAAATCACTTTTATAAGCAAGTGAGGAAACTGTTTAGCCCCAGAGTGTGCACTAGTAATAGCACATAGTTCATTTCACAAAGCTAAAGAGCAATATTGATGATAGGGCACTAAGGAGCATGCGAGTGCATAGATCAATTTGTTACTAGTCAGTCATTGTTTTTCTCTGTTATTAGTACAACCACTATTGTGGTTTAGGTGAGAAAATGTTATTAGTGACTGCTTTCTGGTGCTTTATAGGTGCTATCATTTACTTTCATGTTCATATACTGTTGTAATCATGTATGAATGAGTTGCCAACTATTATATATTATGTATACGTAAGAGACAGGTAAAGAGGTGCATGCCGGTATCAAATATGATATTTACAAAGATACATATTAATAATTCCTAGATAATGGTGGTTTATTATGAACGACAGTAACAGCTAGATGGTAAATCATTCACAATATTTATGTCTATTGTTGCTTTAACATAGGAATTACCAATGGCAATCACATTTTATTTTCCTAGCAGCCAGAACACTTTTGTTATACATCATTTATTCTTTCTTAAAAGAAAAAAAATCCTTTCTAGAAACACTGTTATTCCTTTGACAATTTGCTTTGGATTTGTAATCTTTCCTTAGGGTGTTATTTTTTTTTCTTTAGGGAAAAGAAGGAAAGGGATACACGTGGTTAAAAAAATGCCAACATGAATAAATCCAACAGATAAATTGTTAGCAATTACATTTTTAAGAGTGTTGCAGGAGCATTAACATTGAGAAACTAATACTTAAGTACAAATGGTTTAATTGTAATATGGAAAATAGGTGATGCTATAAAAACTATTATGATTCATATCTATAAAATTAGTAATGGAATGATTATAGGACAAGAAATATGCTTTGGTATGAAATTGTATTCTAAGAATCTTCTATCATCAAATCTAGTTAGTTAAATCTACTAACCCTGAATTTAAGATCTGTGAATGAATTTACCTTTATCTACCATGAAAATAACAAAGCATAGGCTGGGCGCAGTGGCTCCCACCTATAATCCCAGCACTTTTGGAAGCCGAGGTGGGCAGATCACTTGAGGTCAGGAGTTCAAGACCAGCCTGGCCAACATGGTGAAATCCGGTCTTACTAAAAATAAAAAAAATTAGCTGGGCATGGTGGTGCATGCCTGTAATCCCAGTTACTTGGGAGGTTGAGGCAGGAGAATCATCTGAGCATGGGAGACGGAGCTTGCAGTGAGCCGAGATTGTGCCAGTGCACTCTAGCCTGGGCTACAGAGCAAGACTCCGTCTCAAAAAGAAAAGAAAAGAAAAGAACAAAGCATAAATGTAGTGGACCTAGGAGTACTCTTAGGCACTATTCCCAATGTTAAGGAACTTAAAATCTGTAGCTTTTAAACTGTTGATATTTTTTATACTATAGTACGAAGAAATGTACAAAATAATTGAGTCAAAAGTATACAATTTATTTAGAACAAAAAAGCATATGAAAAGGATGATGATAATAAATGAGTGTATTGAAGAGATAATAAAATGATGGACAAGAACATGAACCTAGTGAACAATGTAGTAAGCTATCAGTTAGCAGATAACCACAAAATGCATCATTTCCATGGCTCTGTGAAAACTAAGCTTACAAAAATGATTTTTCCCCTTTGGTTATAAGGATAACAATTAATTATAGAGCACGTTTATTGAGTGTCCACTAGGTATGTGACTGATATGCACACAATTAGTTGTTTTTACTGATCGTTTCACTAAGATACAAATTATTCAGGACCTGTTGTAAGTTTTAAATACAAGTTCAAACACCACAAGGGACTTGCACAAGGTCATACAGCCAAAAGTAATGAACAGAGATACAAATCTTAGATTGCACATCCTCAAAGCCCAGGCCCTTTCTACTACATAGTGTGGCTTCTAAAAATTAAAAATAGTGAAACTGCTTGGTTCTTGATGTGCTGGGGACTTGATAATTTCATAAATTCCATGTGGAATTTAAAGACTGAATATTCAGCTAGTTGATCTCTCTCTCTTTTCTCTCTCTCTCTTTTTTTTTTTTTTTTTTTAAAATAGGATCTTGGTCTCTTGTCCAGGCTGAAGTGTAGTGGTGTGGTCATAGCTCACTGCAGCTTCAAACTCCTGGGCTGAAGTAATCCTTCTGCCTCAGCCTCCCAAGCAGCTAGGACTACAAGTGCACATCACTATGCCAGTCCTGTTTTTATTTACTTATTTATTTATTTACTATTTTTTTGAGATGGAGTCTCGCTCTGTTGCCCAGGCTGGAATGCAGTGGGACAATCTAGACTCACTGCAACCTCCGTCTCCCGGGTTCAAGCAATTCTCCTGCTTCAGCCTCCTGAGTAGCTGGGATTACAGGAGCGTGCCACCATGCTCAGCTAATTTTTGTATTTTTAGTAGAGATGGGGTTTCACCATGTTGGTCAGGCTGGTCTTGAACTCCTGACCTCATGATTCACCTGCCTCAGCCTCCCAGAGTGTTGGGATTACAGGTGTGAGCCACTGCTCCCGGCCATGTTTTTATTTTTTATTTTGGGGAGGTGGGGGGTCTTGCTTTGTTGCCCAGGCTAGTCTTGAACTCCTGGCCTCAAACAATCCTACAGTCTCAACCTCCCAAAGCGCTGGGGTTACAGACATGTGCCACCATATCAGCCCTCAGCTGGTAATTTCCATTACATATATAGTCACTTGACTTTCATTATGTTTTTCCCTAAAGTGCATACACAGGTGAAAACGAAAATGTGACATAAATAAGCAGGGTGAATATATTATAATTTTTTAAAAAATTATTACTTCTCTTACAAGTGGGAACCTTTTTTTTTTTCGCTGTTGTAGCATTCACTGGTATTTTCCTGTTAACCTCTTGGTACACATAACAAAAATTAAGTGTGTTTATTTCAACGTTATGACTTATTTATAGATTCTTATTAAACTTTGCTTCTTAACTAGAATAGAAATGAAAATAATTATCACAATAGTGAATAATCCCTTTTGTTTTCTGTTATCTCATTATACCAATGAATATTTTGAGTATTTTGAGGATTATTTATCATACTTTTCCAATTAGAAAACGAGTTTCTTAAAGATTGTATTATTTTCTCTTAATGAGAGAGGCTGCACACAGAGGTTATTTAACAGATATTGTAGGTTAAACATCTGACTATTGTGAGTGGAGAGAAAATTATGAGATAGAGTTTTGCTAAATGTAACAAGTAAGATGCTTAATGGACTCATGGAGTTTCTAAACTTGGCAAGATGAGTCTGTTTTAATAGGCAAATTTACCAGTTTAGAATAAGAAATATTACATTCTCATCAGTAAGTGCCCTGACAAATGGTCCAGCATTAGAAACATTTATCAATTGTTTTAATAAGGAACTGTTGTGATATTATCAGGCAGAGGTTAAATGCTTTGCTAGAAAGACCTATGTATTAGTCTGTTCTCACAATGCCATAAAAAAATACCTGAGACTGGGTAATTTATAAAGGAAAGAGGTTTAATTGACTCACAGCTCCACATGGCTGGGGAGGCCTCAGGAAACTTATAATTATGGCAGAAGGGGAAGGGGAAGCAAGGACCTTCTTCACGTGGTGGCAGGAGAGAGAAGTGAGGATGCAGGAAAAGCTGCCATTTATAAAACCATCAGATCTCATGAGAGTTCACTCACTATTATGAGAACAGCATGGGGAAACCGCCCCCATAATCCAGTCACTTCCTACCAGGTCTCTCCTTCAACACCTGGGGATTACAATTCAGAATGAGATTTGCGTGGGGACACAAAGCCTAACCATATCAGTCTAAAAATGTATATGTCATAAAAATTGCTTAGAAATATGTTTAGAGGTATCATAGACAGGTGAATAGAAAATGAGCTTTAGAGTCACACGACCTTGGTTTGAATTCCAGCTCTGTCATTAGCTCTGTGAATTTAGCCACAGAGTAATCTCATTAAGATGTTTCTTCACTTACAAAATAAAAATAATACTATCTCTTCATGTAAGGTTTTTATGAGGATTAACTGTAGTAATGAATAAAAAAGTAACTGGCATCAAAACGATGCACAACAAATGTAGCTTCTTTTAATTTGAAATATTAAAGTGATATATTTGATGCTGATTATTGTATGTACTGGAGATTATATTTTTCTGAATTTTTAGAAAGAAAAATCAAGGGAATTTTAAACATCATGAAAGGCCTACTTGTTCACACAGTTTTTAAATTGTGAATGACATTTAAAAAATAATTTTCATTATGTTTTTAGGCTAAATATGTCCAATGCTTTATAGCTCTTGAAAAAATTTAGCCTGATTTTTGTTGCTGTTCTTTTGTGGTGTAATTAGTGTCCTCAGCTGAAACAAGGTGCTGGTAGCTGACCCCTTCTCTAAGGTCATGGTAGGATCTTTAGGCTTCCTTCTTATAAGTCACAGAGGTCAGGAAAAAGACATTATTGTTGGGTTGGACTTATCGCATGCTCTTATAACAGCCCATTGTTAGTGTAGAATTAACTACAGAGTTTTTATTTCTTATGTCTTGTAAAAATCAGAGCACTTTTGTAAAAATGACGATTGAACATCAAGGTAACCTTTATGTTATATTTCCAAATGGGTACATGGATCTATATATGAAGAATTTTTAGTTGAAACAGTTTATAGTGTTTCTGTTTTTGGCTCTATAACTGACTTCCTTCAGACCAACTTCATATACTCTCTCCTTCACCTTCTGGTGTTTGTGAAACAAAGGGTGAAAAGGACAAGTGCAGTGATGATTTTTAGCTCAAAATGTTGGGCTTTTCTATCTAATTTAGTTGTCCAAGAACACATTATAAAATATTTGCAACCACAAGGAATCTAATAGCCTAAGAAAAGTGAAAAAAAAGCAGCCTTTTGTGTGTTTGTTTTCTCCTTAGGGAATAACTATAAATGGAAATTAGAGATAAGATAGTTAATATTGTTCTGTAAATATTCAGTCATCCTGAAATAGTCACGCCTGTCATAGGAGGGAGAATTATTATTTACTAGGATTACAAGCCAGTTGATCAACTGACATCCTGTGGCTAATTGTGGATTGGTATTTCAAAGATAATGTAGTCTTTATTAAGCATCTGCAATTTTATAGTTACATTTCACACATTACCATTTTGATTTTTAGCAACATTTTGTCCTTAAAAATAATGTGTATGTGTGTGTGTGTATTCCTCATTTTACACATGAGGTAATTAAGGTTCAGACAAGTCAAACTTTTTTCAAGGTCGTACAGTTAAAAAGTGGCAAAATCAAATTTCAACCCTGTTTGGTTTGATTGGTTTGTTAACATGTGCCTTTGTTTCTGTACTTATCATTTTTAGTGCCTTGCTGACTAAAATACAAAGTTTACTCATTTTTATACAATTCCTCTTATTTTTAGGAGATACAAATAAAAACACTGTAGTTAATTCTCAACTAACAATGGACTACTATAAGAGCATGTAGTAAACCCAGTCCAACAAGAATGGCTTTTGTCGGAACTCTTTTTCTCCTGTTCTCAGTAAAAATTTATTGCTTGAAATGTTTATTGAGTCTCTGCTGGTGCTTGGTATTCTATTTCACTGCTGGGTACAGCAATGAAAACAGATGGATGCAATCCCTGCTTTCATAAAGCATACTTTCTAATTCCCAACATATGTACCTATGATAAAGTTTAATATATAAATTAGGCCCAGTAAGAGATTAACAATAACTAATAATAAAATAGAACAATTATAACATCTATGTAAGAAGTTATGTGAATGTGGTCTATTTCTTTCTTTCAAAATATCTTATTGTACTGTTGATCTTAGCTAACCTCACTATAGGGTTTTTTTTTCTTTCTTTATTAGGTTGAGAACTTTCACCTTTTCACTTAAAGGAAACACTTTGCGGCTTCTCTTTGACATATCCAAATGGCCAGCATCACGGGGGCCATTATTAAGTAAAAAAAAGGTTCTTTGAACACAAGCACAGTTGATATGATAACCTACTCAGCTACAAAATGACTAAAGGGCAGGTAGCGCCTACAGCATGAATCTGTTGGACAAAGGGATGATTCACATGAGGAACAAAGCAGGATACTGTGAGATTTCATCATGCTCCTCAGAATGGCATATAATTTAAAACTAATGAATTGTTTATTTATGGAATATTCAAGTTAATATTTTTAGATTGCCATTGGCAGCGAGTGACTGAAACTGTGGAAAGCAAAACTGCAGCTCCATCCCATAGCAAACATTAGGCATAAAATCTTTATCAAATTCTTATCTCGTACAGAGTTGAGGACAGGTAAAAGGGAACTTGTCGTAGTTGTTGATACATCCTGGTTGCTATGTGAATAATAATTCACAACAATATCGGAATAATATAGATAGAAAATATAACAAGAAAATATATTGAAGAAAACTTGTTGTGAGAAATGCAGTGAATATTAAAGTGACTGACTTTTCACACCATCAGATTTTATTTTAAAGCATAATTTTCCATAGAATTAAACTAATCAGTTAATGTAAACATGGGATTTTTAGTTTGAAAACTGAGAAAGTATTACAGATCATTTAAAATTAGTACTGCTACTTTGAATTTGGAAAACATGTTTCTATACCAAGAGAGAATGGAAGCGACCATCTTAGTATAATGTAAATCCAGACTAAACGTATAATTAGGAATATATAATAAATTACGTATTTATAGGGAGATATCTGGGCTATTAAATGAATTCTACAGTTATTTTAATATATAGTCAGTTTTATATATATTATATATGAATTCCTCCTTTGCACTTCTTTTATTTTTAGACTAGCTGGTTCTTATTTATGGTTTTTTTTGAAAAAAGCATTTTTGATCTGATCTTTAGAATGAAGCAATTTCCCAACCTGTAGTGAAAGATATTATTTACCATAAATTTTCCAGTATTGCCAATATATCTTTTTTGGGTCAAAAAATACGACAGAGACAAAATTTAAAAATTATTTCAGCTGTCTACATTCATTAAATAAAATACTGGCAGGAGTTGTATATTATATTAGTTTGAATAAGTTGGGCAAATATATTTAGCTATTTCTTTGATTAGATTTATAGGTTTCAAAGTTCTATATATGCATGTGTTGAAAATAAAACACATGGTAAATTGGTAAAGGACTTTAGAAACAAGTACATATAACACTGGCAGAAGGACCTTGTCTCTCTTGCATACCATTGTTTTCCTAGGGCGTGTCACACAACAGGTCCTTAATAAATATGTATTGAATGAATGTATTAAATTATAAAAGTAATGATGAAAAGCTGGACATAAAAAATTTCTGATGATAACTTCACATGCATTAGCAGGTTCTTAATGTCACTTGACTGTATTCCTTGCTTCTGGCTTCCTAAGTGGGTTTTGCTTTGCTGGTCCTGTACTACAGACCCTGCCTCTGAATCATGACACATTTTGTCAGTAATGTACACATCAGTATGTAGAGAGCTTCAAAAGCTTGGGCACTTAACACTAACCTTCTGCTCAGGTCCTTAGGTAAATGTTGGGTATGCGCCACCATTAAATACCCTGTAACTCTCCGATGCTACTTCTCTGCTACATCTTGTATTCTACCAAGGTCTAGAGGAGGGTGGATTTAAATGATCAATTTTCTTAGCATTGACTGATTTATGTGTAGAATTTTAGATTTTTTTTTTTTTTTGAGACGGTTTCTCACTCTGTTGCCCAGGCTGGAGTGCAGTGGTGTGATCACCGTTCACTGAAGCCTCGACCTTCTAGGCTTAAGCGATCCTCCCACTTCACCCTTTCAAGTAGCTGGGACCACAGGTGCACGCCATCACAGTCAGCTAATTTTTGTGTTTTTTTTGTAGAGACAGGGTTTCACCATGTTGCCCAGGCTGATCTCAAACTCCTAATCTCAGACGATCCGCCTTGGCTTCCTAGAAGTGCTGGGATTACATGCATGAGCCACAATGCCTGGCCAGAATTTTTAAAATCTTAATTATTTTTGTTGAGTCATAGACTGCAGTAGCAAATGTCTAGATTATAATTACAGGAAAATAAAATCATTTGTGGCAAAGACATGGCATACTTCTTTTTAATTCCTCAAATAGTACTGTATTCCACAGCCCTACTCGTATATAACCCACCAGACAAGAAAGCTGATCTGTGTAACAACTTGAACTTCTTACTTGCCATGTTTAAAAAGGGAAGACCATCGACTAGAGACAGGGGTGGCTACCTTTAGAGATTACTAATTTTGTCAATGCAAAGCTTGCTAGGATAACAGTTGATAATATCAAATTGCTTATTAATAGTTTTATCAGGATGTAATTTACATGTTAAACAAGTCAACCATTTAAAGTATACAGTTCAATGATTTTTTAGTATATTCACAGAATTGTGCAACTCAGAGTAAATTTTAAACCATTTTCATTACCCCCAAAAGAAATGCAATTCTTATTAGCAATCACCCACAATATTCTCCACTCTCTCCCAGCCCTGAGCAACTACTAATATATTTTCTGTCTCTATAGATTTACTTATTCTGAACACTTCATATAAATAGAACATACAATATGTGGTCTTTTGTGACTGGCTCCTTTCACTTAGCATAATGTTTTCAAGGTGCATCCATGTTGTAGCATGTATCAGTACTTTATTCCTTTTATTGCTGAATAATATTCCATTGTATGGATCTACCACATGTATTTTTTTATTGATCCATTGATGAACATTTGAGTTATTTTCACTTTTTGGTTATTATGAATAATGCTGCTATGAACATTCATGCGCAACTGCCAACATGTTTTTCAACACACTTGCACCATTTTATATTTCCATCAGCAATGCAGGACGATTCCAGTTTCTCTACCATCTGGAGAACACTTATTAATATCAATCTCCATTATTATAACCATCCTAGTGGGCATAAAGTGGTGCCTCATTGTGGGTTTGATTTGCATTTCCTTAATGGCTAATTATGTTGAGCATCTTTTCATGTCCTTGGGGTCATTTATATATCTTCTTTGCATAAATATCGATTTAGATTCTTTGCCTTTTTTAAAAAAATTGGGTTGTATTTTTGAGTTGAGAGGTCCTTAAAATATTATAGATAATTTGTTATTAGATCTATGGTTTGCGAATATTTTCTTCCATTCTCTGGGCTTTTACCTTCCTGATGGTATCTTTTGCAGAACAAAGTTGGTAATTTTGATGAAGTCTAATTTATTTATATGCTTACTTTTGCTTATACATTTGGCATTGTATCTAAGAAGGTTTTGTTTAACTCAAAGTTGTTAAGATTTACTCCCATTTTCTTCTAAGACTTTTATAGCTTTAGCACTTACATTTGGGCTTAAGATCTATTTTGATTCACTTTTTGTGTAGAGTGCAGGAAAAGAAGTTAAACTTCATTGTTTTGTCCCTGGGTCTGGGACCATCTGATGAAAAGACAATTCTTTCCTCCATTGATTTTCCCTCTCACCCTTGTTAAAAATCACCTGACCAAAAATATAAGGGCTATCTGTACTCTTGGTTCTGTTCCACTGCTTTATATATCTGTCCTTATGCCAGTATCACAGTGTCATGATTACTGTAGTTTGGTAGTAAGTTTTGAAATTGGAAACTGTGTGTTCACTAACTTTGTTCCCTTTTTCAAAATTGTTTTGGCTATTGTGGCTTCATTTTCATATGAAATTTAGCAGCAGCTTATCAATTTCTGCAATTTTAAAAAGGCAGTTGGGATTTTGACAAGGATTGTGTTGAATCTGTATCAGTTTGGGGTGATTTGTCATCTTTGTAATAACACGTGTTCTAATCAATGACCATCAAATGTCTTCAATTTCTTTCAATAATGTTCTGTCATTTTCAGAGTACAAGTATTGCACTTTTTATTAAACTTATTCCTAGAGATTTTTTCTTGTGAATGCTACTGTAAATGGAGGACTATTTTCTTAACTCATTTTTAGATTATTTTCTACTGTATAGAGATACAATTGATTTTGGTGTATTCATCTTGTATCTGTCAACCTTATCAAACTTGTTTATTAGTTGCAATAGTTTATTTTTGTTTGTGTATGTGTATGTGTGTTCCTTAGGAATTATTAAAAATATAAGATCATAAGATCATTCCCTTTGCAAATAGAGGTACATTTATTTCTTTTTTTCTAATCTGGATTCCTTTATTTTATTTAAGTGTTATAAATTTTTACTTTTTGCCTACTTGTGCTGGCTAGAATGTTCGGTATAATAATGAATAAATATGATGATATTGAACAGTCTTATTTTTTTCTAATTTTAGATGTGAAAGCATTTGGATTTTTACCAGTAGGTATAATGATAGCCAGGGATTTTTCTACACATCCTTATCAGGTTGAGGAGATGTTCTTACTAGTTTGCTGAGAGTTTTTATCATGAAAGTTGTGTTGGAATTTGTCCCATGCTGTTTCTGCATCTATAACAGAAACATGTGCTTTTTGTTCTTTAGTCGATTGATATGGTATATTATATTGATTAATTTTTGGACATTAAACCAGCATTAGATTTCTGGAAAAATTCCACTTCCTCATGGTGTATGACCTTTTTATTATGTTGCTGGATGTTTGCTAGTATTTTGTTGAGGATTTTATATATAAAATAATAAAAGACATTGTTCTTTTCTTTATTATAGGTGTATTTAGAGTTTTCTATTTACTCTGAGTCAATTTTGGTAGTTTACATCTTTTTAGGAATTTCTCCATTTCTTCTAAGTTATGATCTGTTGGAATGCAGTTGTTCATAGTATTCCTTTTAATTCTTTTATTTCTGTGAGGTTTGTAGTGATCTTTTATTATTTCAAAAATAATTTGAGTCTTTTCTCATTTTTCTTGCTTGTTCTTTTTAAAGGTTTGATTTTGTTGATTTACTGTATTGTTTTTCTATGTTTTATTTCAGCCGTTTGTGCTGTAATCTTTATTATTTTCTTAATTCTGCTGGCTTTTAAGTTTCATTTGGTCTTCTTTGGTCAGTGTCTTAAGGTGAAAGATAATGTTATTGATGTGAGATGCTTCTTTTTAAATACAGGTTGAGTATCCCGTATCTGAAATGCATGGAATTAGAAGTGCTTTGGATTTCAGATTTTTTTTAGAATTTGGAATTCTTGAATTATACAGGTTGAGCAACCCAAATCCAAAAATTTGAAATCCAAAAGTGCTCCGATGAGCATTTCTTTTGAGCATCATGTTTTTGCATAAAAACTTTCAGATTCTGGAGCATATTGTATTTTCAGATTTGAGATGCTCAACCTATATATGTTTATGGATAGTTATAGCTCTAAGCATTGCTTAAGTTGCATCTCACAAGTTTTATTTTCTTCTTCATTAATCTCAAAGTATTTCCAATTTCTCTTTTGATTTATTTTTCTTTTTTAACACATTGGTAATATAAGAACGTGTTTTTTACTATTTATATATTTGTAAATTTTCCAATTTTTTATTTTAAGATTTTTAATTTTTGTGGGTACATATATTTAAGGGATACATGAGGTATTTTGACACAGGCATGTAATTCATAATAATCACATCATGGAAAATGGTACATCTATCCTCTCAAGCATTTATCCTTTGTGTTACAAAAATCCACTTATATTATTTTAGTTATTTTTAAATGTTCAATTAAATTATTATTGATTATAGTGCCCCTGTTGTGTTATCAAATACTAGGCCAATTTTCCAAATTAAAAAAATTAATTTTTAATGTTATTCCTTTGTGGCTGGAGAACATATTTTTGTATTATTTCATTTTTTCAATTGTTCAATGTGTCTATTTCTACTAACTTTTAAATTTTCATAATATATTTTGTCTGATATTAATATAGCCATTTTTGCATTCCTGTCATTTTTATTTTTATGGTATAGTTTTACTTTCTTCGTTTTTGCATCTTGGAATCTAAAATGTGGCTCCTGTAGAAGGCATACTTTGAATTTTGTTGTTTTTATTTAGTCTGACAATCTCTTTTTGATTGGATTATTTAATACATTCATGTTTCATATAATTGGTGATATGGTTGGATTTGTCATTTAACTTTTTGTTTGGTGTCATTTTTTCTCCACTACAGCTTTTTTCCCAGCCAATTCCTTTGTGCTATTATAAATATGTTACATTTCTATATGTCATAGGCCCAACAATATAATTATGTACATATTATTGTAAAAAATAGCTTTTAAAATCAGTTAAGAAAAGGAATGGAAAGAAATGTGCAATTGTATGTCATACTTTCTAATATGATTACCTTTACTGAAATTTTAATTTTTAGTGGGTTTCAAATTATTGTTGGGTGTCACTTGCTTTCAGCTTGAAGAATTTTTTTAGTATTTCTTGAGAAGTAGATGTGCTAGCAATGAATTCTGTTTTTGTTAATTAAAGAATGTTTTTATTCAACAACATTTTTGAAAGATTGTTTCAATATGAAATACTTGATTGAGATTTTTTTCCTTTCAACTTTGAATATGTGATCCCACTGCCTTATATTCTACATTATTTTTGGTGAAAACTCAGCTGTTATTGTTATTGGGGTTCCTTAATATGTGACAAACCATTTTTCTCTTGATGCTTTCAAGATTTTCCTTAGTCTTATTGTTGTTGTTCACTTGTTTATCTGTTTAGTGACTTTGCTCAACAACTTTGGTGAAGTCCATTTCCCCAATGGGATTCAATCTCTGATATTGTTCCTAAGAGGCACAACCGTGGGCATGCACACACTCTGGTCTTTGTTCTCCATCAACTTCTCAAGAGATGACAGTGGATTTTAGTTAGTCTCTTTTTGATTGTCTCTTTCTTTCTTCTCCCTATTAAATTTCTAGCTAGTCTGCATCTACTGGTATCATATCCATCTGTTAGCCTTCACTAATTGCTAGCTGATTGCTCCATTGTTTTTGACAATACCTAGTGCATAGATTGCTCTACAGTCTGATCCAATTAAATTTAGGCACCTTTGCAGAGGTATTTTTTGAAATGAGACTTTGAGACTTATTCCTACCCTGGGAATGCTCTTTAGTTGTGTCTTTTCCTGGTTTTATCTGTTAAACTCTAGCTTGCTTACTGTTATATTTCTTGCTTTCATGAAGCTATCTGTCTCCTCTTAAATTTCTCACCATCAAAATCTTTGTTCTTTACAACAGTGTCCCAAGACTTGAACTTCCCATGCCCTGTCCCAAATAAAGCCAGATCTTTTAGGAAGACCTATAGAGCATTAGTTCCTTCTGGCTTGCCTCGTTCTCTGGGCAGTACCCCTGCACCAGTGTTCCAGAGCTGGTGGTCAGGAAGTCGCTCACTTCTCTAGGAATGACAGCCTTCTCTAATGAGTAGAATGCTTGGCAGGGGCAGTAGCCTCTGTTCTTGTCAACTTGATATTATCTTGATGTTGAACCTCCACCGTAAACTTGCTGAAACAAGGACATTCAGGGCTCAGTATTATCAGCCAGCTATGCCTGGGGGTAGATCTTCCATTCTATGAGTAAGGCTGAGTAGAGGAAAGGAACAGGGATCATTTGACTGTTCTTGCCTGCAGTGGAGCTTCAGCAGCAATGGGCTGGGCAGGATGAGAAAGGCTGGTGATCAGCTCCTCCTGGGAAGAAACTGTAGCCCTAAACTTGGGTCTAGGAGGAGACAGAGCCCTGTGTTCTTGTCTGTACATGCCGATAGTAGAGCTTCCATAAAGTTGAGCTGGGTAGGAGGGAATGGGCCATGGCTCACATGCCATAGACTGTCACTTATTGAGATTTATTTGATTTTGCTGAATAAATGTTTCTCCATTTTTTGCATGTCATTAGGGAAACTTCCTGATAATTTAAGTGGTTACTTTATATAATTTTTACCTGTTATGGTTGTTCCTCCTGTAGTGTTCTTAGCATTTACTTTCATTTACTAAAATATCTGTATGTTTTTTAAAAGTATATGTTGATATACATATCAACATATATATCAACACACACACACACACACACACACACACACACGCACACTTTATGAACATATTGATTCTACCAGCATTTATTCTGCTTCTACCAGTAATGGTCTTCTTTTTAATTAAAATGGTAGTGTTTTTTAAAGCATAAGTCAAGCAAAATTTAGCGCTTTTCGTCAGCAAGTAACAATTCTTTTATTAAACACTATTTTCAAGTCCTTTTTCAAATACCATCAGAATTTCCATTTATTAATTTACAAAGAAAATTATAAAAATTACATAGAACTATTTGAATAAGCATAACCATATATTTTTTTTTTCTCAGAGTGATCTACATGGGAACCACATTCACAAGTAGAAGGTTGCTTGGTGACCAGGGAATCTGCGCAATCATTAATCTTTGATGATTGGAATGATTAATGATATCAAGCCATTTTGTTTTGCCTGTCCTTTTGCATCTTCACCATCTCTGCTCTGCATTTAATAAATATGAATCATTTTATAGAAATACAGATTGTTATAAATTATGGTTATTTTAATCATAAGGATAGTAATTCTCAAAGCTTAGTTTACAGTTTGACAATGGTAAATGAAAAATTTATATGTTCACAAAAATATTTTGCAAACATAGGATTTGTACTTTCTAACAATTTTCAGATATCTGTTTTTAAAATAAGTTTTACAAAAACTACTGATTACAGAATAGATATCTAGCCTTTAAATGCAACATATTACATAGAAATTATAGTTGTTGCAATCATCCAAAGAGGTGTAAAAAAAACACAGTTAAAGCAAGAGAAGTCTTTATAGAACAGATTGCCAGTAGTTAGTGTACAAGTATGGTAACACTTAATGTTTATTTTCAGTGTTTGGGACATTATTCACTTTACATGTATAATGTCACCCAATTGTCACAATAGGTAGGAACTTGTCATTCACTTTATAGATGAGGATACTGAAGCTCTAGATGTTTATGTAACTTATCTAAGCTAGCTAGTGATGGAACTGTGGCATTTCTAGTTAATGATAGAACTGTGGCATTTACCTTGCAGCCTAACTCTAGAGTTCTCACTCTTACTCTGCCACATTGTATCCAGAAGTATGCCAAAATTTTTCTTCATCTTATATAATTTGTTTTCATATTTTTCACATATTTGTAAAGAGCATGTTTATTGACCCTGTTCCATGTCCATCTGAAGTTCTCTCTTGGTTATTTGAGTAATGGAGGAGCCAATTCCTATAGTCTCCATTCATGCTCAAAATCTTCCTGCAGTCTTTGTGACCTGACTCATTCTTTCTATTACAAAAATATGTAATATAAACATGATTAAGATGAAGAGGATATAATAGCCAAAATGTATTGTGCCAGGCATTGTTCTAGTGTCTTGTGTATGTTATCTCATTTAATCTATGGTAAAATTCTCTGGGGTGGGCATTATTGACTTAGTGATTAAGAAACTTCAAATCGGAGAAACTAACTGTGCTTTTGGCTACACAGTTTTTAAGTGTTGATTCTGAATTATGCCTGGTGATTCTGAAGACATTGCCCTTTCCCTGTCATATTCTAAAATGTTTACTGAGTGCTGGGTCTTACATGCCCTGTGAGTAGGCTGTCAGCAGAATACTTCTCTAGAGGTAGTTATATTAAAAATACATTAAGGTTGAGAAACTCAGAATCAGAAAGATTCATTATAAGATATAAGTTTGCATAGTTCACCTTGAGATTGCTATGGCAGGTTCATAAATGGATTGACAAATGAAAAGTGGGTCACTGATCATTTTATTTACTGTAGTTCCCCATTATCTGTGGTTTTGCTTTCCACGACTTAAGTTATCTGCAGTCAACCATGGTATAAAAATAGTTGAATACAGTAAAATAAGACATTTTGAGAGAGAGAAAGAGGGAGCTCACATTTATATAACTTTTATTACAGTATATTGCTTTGTTTTATAATTATTATTAATCTCATTGTTTTTCATTTATAAATTAAATTTTACCATATATATGTATGTATAAGAAAATACATAGTATTTATGACATTCCGTACTATCTGTAGTTTCAGGCATCCACTGCGGGGGGGTCTTCGAAGATATGCCTGATGGGTAAGAGAGGGATTGCTATATTCACTGTTATGGAAAATAGTGGTGGTCTTAACAGCAGATATAAAAATTATTTGCAAATTAACAGTATGTTAACAAACAAAGGAAAGGAGATGGCATAAAATATCAGTGTCTTATGTTATAAAATGAAATGTTATATATATATATATAGGTATATGTCTATATAAGCAATGCATCATTGCTATTCATTATCAAATACTATTCATCAAAAATGAGTGCTTATGATTCTAGGACAGGGACCTTGTATGGTTCTTTTGTTTTTATTTATAAAACATGACACATAAAGGGCACTTGATAAATGTTTAAGGGAGCAAAAAATATTTTTTGGTGTATTTAAAAGTCAAATGAGCAAAGCAGGGATTTATGCTGGTGGAAAAGAGATTAATTATGGTCTAAATAGCATAGCATGCTCCTTGTGTTAGTCCAGAGAGAGAGAGTGCCAATAGGATACAGATAGATAGATAGATAGATAGATAGATAGATACATAGATACATAGATACATAGATACTTAGATAGATAAAGAAGGAGAGAGATTTAACATAAACATGTAAATACTTAAGTAAATGTTTATTTATTATAAGGAATTGGCTCACACGATTATGGAGGTTGGAAAATTCCAAGATTTGCTGTTGGCTGTCTGATGACCCAGGAGAGTCAATTACATAGTTCCAGTCTGAATCTGAGTCTGAAGACAGGAGAATTTTGATATTGTAGCTCCCAGACAGTCAAGTAGAGGAGTGAATTCCCCCTGACTCAGCCTTTTATTCTATTCAGGCCATCAAGGGATTGGATAAGCCCCACTCATATTGGAGAAGGCAATCCGATTGATTCAGGCTACTGATTTCATATGCTAATCTCATCCAGAAACATCTTCATAGACTCACAGACATACCCTCAATAATGTTTAACCAAATACCTGGGCAGTCTGTGGTCCAGTCAAGTTGACACATAAAATTAACCGCCACACTGTTCAGTTTTCCTAGCTGTTAACTCCAATCATTTGAAAGGAAGCGATCTCAAACTTAAGGTTCCAGACTCTATAGCCAGATAATAATTTCTGGTTTTTATAGGCTGATGACTCCCATTCTGTATTTAAGGGCTACTGGTATGACATCACAGAAAAATAATTATTTACTCATTTAAAAAAATATCGGATGGGCACGGTGGCTCATGCCTGTAATCCCAGCACTTTGGGAGGCCGCGGCAGGTGGATCATGAGGTCAAGAGATTGAGATCATCTTGGCCAACATGGTAACACCCCGTTTCTACTAAACATACAAAATTAGCTGGGCGTGGTGGTGCACGCCTGTAATCCCAGCTACTCGGGAGACTGAGGCAGGAGAATCACTTGAACCTGGGAGGCAGAGGTTGCAGTGAGCTGAGATCACGCCACTGCATTCCAGCCTGGCGAAAGGTGAGACTCCATCTCAAAAACAAACAAACAAAAATATCAAAGTGAAATATGTGTAAGAAACTCAAAGAATATTTTAAGAGAGTATAATAATGTTAAAATACACAAAGTTCCTTATTTATAGTTTCACTTTCAAAGATAAACAGTCATAATGATTTGATTTTCTAGCCATTTTTCAATACACTATACAATTAATAGTACATATGTGTTAGTTTTATTTTTTATTTCAATAGTTTTTGGGGTACAGGTGTTTTTTGGCTACATGGATGAGTTCTTTAGTGGTGAATTATGAGATTTTAATGCACTCCTCACCTAAGCAGTGTACACTGTATCAAATATGTAGTCTTACACCCCTCACTTTCTTTGCAACCATGCTGTTTTGGTAACTACAGCCTTGTAGTATAATTTGAAGTCTGGCAATGTGATACCTCCAGATTTGTTCTTTTTGCTTAGTATTGCTTTGGTTATGTGGGCTCTTTTTTGGTTCCATATGAATTTTAGGATTGTTTTTTCTAGTTCTGTGAGGAATGATGGTGGTATTTTGATGGGAATAGCATTGAATCTGCAGGTTGCTTCAGGCAGTATGGTCATTTTCACAATATTGATTCTTCCTATCTATGAGCATGGGATGTGTTTTCATTTGTGTCATCTGTGATTTCTTTCAGTAGTGTTTTGTAGTTTTCCTTTATAGTTTTCACCTTTTTAGTTAAGTATATTCCTAGGTATTTTATTGTTTTTGCAGCTATTGCAAAAGGGATTGCGTTCTTGATGTGATTCTCAGCTTGATCATTGTTGGTGAATAGCAGTGCTTTGTATACATTGATTTTGTAATGTGAGACTTTACTGAATTTGTTTATCAGATCTAGGTGCCTTTTGGATGAGTATTTATGGTTTTCTAGGTATATGATCATATCATCAGTGAACAGTGACAGTTTGACTTCTTTTTTTTTCCCAATTTGTATGTCCTTTATTTCTTTCTCTTGCCTAATTGCTCTGGCTAAGACTTCCTGTACTATGTTGAATAGAAATGGTGAAAGTGGGCATCCTTGTCTTGCTCCAGTTCTCAGGGGAAATGCTTTTAGCTAAGATGTTAGCTGTGGGTTTGTCATATATGGCTTTTATTACTTTGAGGTAAGTCCCTTCTATGCCTATTTTGTTAAGAGTTTTTATTATGAAGGGATGCTGGATTTTACCAAGTGCTTTTCCCTTATCTATTGAGATGATCATATGGTTTTTGTTTTCAATTCTAGCTATGTGATATATCACATTTATTGACTTGTGTATGTTAAACCATCCCTGCATCTCTGTGACTAAACTCATTTTGTCATGATGTATTATCATTTTGATCATCCACCAGCTGTTGGATTTGGTGAGCTAGTATTTTGTTGATGATTTTTGCATCTATGTTTATCAGTGATATTGGTCTGTAGTTTTCTCTTTTTTGTTATGTCCTTTCCTGGTTTTGCTATTAGGGTGGTACTGGCTTCATCGAATGACTTAGGGAAGATTCTCTCTTTATCTTTTGGAATAATTTCAGTAGGATTAGTACCAATTCTTCTTTGAATGTCTGGTAGAATTCAATTGTACATCCATCTGGTCCTGTACTTCTTTTCACTGGCAATTTTTTAAAATTATTGATTCAGTCTCACCACTTGGTATTGGTCTGTTCAGTGTTCCTGTTTCTTCCTGATTTAATCTAAGAGGGTTGTATATTTCTAAGAATTTATCCATTTCCTCTGGGTTTTCTAGTTTGTGCATGTAAAGGTGTTCATAGTAGACTTCAGTGAACTTTTGTATTTTTGTGGTATTGGTTATAAAATCGTTGACTTTCTGCCTTGATGATCTGTCTAGTGTTCTGTGGAGTATTGAAGTCTTCCACTATTATTGTGCTGCTATCTCATTTCTTTGGTCCAGCAGTAATTGTTTTATAAATCTGGGAGCTCCAGTGTTAGTTGCATATAGGTTTAGGATTGTAATGTCTTCTTGTTGGACTGCTACTTTTATGATGATATAATATTGTTCTTTGTCTTTTTTTTACTAGTGTTGCCTTAAAGTCTGTTTTGTCTGACATAAGAATAGCTACTCCTACTTCTTCTGGTTTTCATTTACATGGAATATCTTTTTCTATCCCTTTGACCTTGAGTTTATGTGAATGCTTATGTGTAAGATGAGTCTGTTGAAGACAGTAGATATTGTTTGGTGGTTTTCTAATTTTTTATTTGATTTATTTCTTGATTTATTAAGACAGAGTTTCACTCTTGTTGCCCAGGCTGGAGTGCAATGGCACTATTTTGGCTCACTGCAACCTCCGCCTCCTGGGTTCAAGCAATTTTCCTGCC
Organism: Homo sapiens; assembly: GCF_000001405.40. Taxonomy (NCBI): domain Eukaryota; kingdom Metazoa; phylum Chordata; class Mammalia; order Primates; family Hominidae; genus Homo; species Homo sapiens. The sequence goes on from NC_000004.12 coordinate 90,260,831, forward strand.
TCAGCCTCCCGAGTAGCTAGGATTACAGGCGTGTGCCAGCACACCTGGCTAATTTTTCTATTTTTAGTAGAAACGGAATTTCACCATGTTGGCCAGGCTGGTCTTGAACTCCTGACCTCAAGTGATCTGCTTGCCTTGGCCTCCCAAAGTACTAGGATTAGAGGTGTGAGGCACCACACCTGGCTAGGTGTTGGTTTTGTTAAACCCATTCGGCCATTCTTTACCTTTTAAGTGGAGCATTTAGGCCATTTACATTCAATGTTATTATTGAGATACGAAGTACTGTTATATTCATCATATTCATCATATTAGTTGTTACCTAGATACACTGTTTTTTTTTTCACTGTGTTATTGTTTTATAGGCCCTGTGAGCTTAATGCTTTCAGGAGGTTCTATTTTGGTGCACATTGAGCTTTTGGTTCAAGATTTAGAACTTTTAGCATTTTTCGTAGTGCTGGTTTGGTAGTGGCAAATACCCTCAGCATTTGTTTGTCTGGAAAACACTTTATCTCTTCATCATTTATGAAGCTAAGTTTCACTGGAAACAAAAATCTTGGCTGACAATTGTTCTGTTTAAGGAGGCTAAAGATAGGAACTCAGTTCCTTCTAGTTTGTGAGGTTTCTGCTGAGAAGTCTTCTGTTAGTCTGATAGCTTTTCCTCTGTGGGTTACCTGATGCTTTTGTCTCACAGCTCTTAGAATTCTTTCCTTCATGTTGACTTTAGATAGCCTGATGACTATGTACCTTGGTGATGATCTTTTTGCAATGAATTTCCCAGGAGTTCTTTGTGCTTCTTGTATTTGGATATCTAAATCTCTAGCAAGGTCAGGAAAGTTTTTCTCAATTATTCCCTGAAATATCTTTTCAAACTTTTAGTCTTCTCTTCTTCCTCAGGAACACCAATTATTCTTAGGTTTGGCCATATTACATAATCCCATATTTCTTGGAGACTTTGTGTATTTCTTTTGATTCTTTTTGCTTCATCTTTGTCTGATTGGTTAATTTGAAAGCTGTGTCTTCAAGCTTTGAAATGTTTTCTTATACTTATTTTATTGTTGAAACTTTCTGTTACATTTTGTATTTCCCTAAATGTGTCTTTCATTTCTAGAAGTTCTGATTGGTTTTTCTTTAAGATATCTATCTGTCTGGAAACTTTTTCACTTATATATTGAATTTTTTTTAAATTTATTTTTGTTGATTTTCACCTTTCTCTGGTATTTCCTTGAGTAGCTTAATAATAAACCTTCTGAATTTTTATTTGCTATTTCAAATATTTCATCTTGGTTTGGATCCATTGCTAGGGAGCTTCTGTGATTTTTTGGGGATATTAAAGAACCCTGTTTTGTCATATTACAAATCCCTGTCTTAGGTAGAGTATTGCTTTAAATTGTTTTTAAATTTATATTTGATTTCTTTTAAATTTCTTTTTATCCTCTTGAGGATGTGGCTTTAATGTTTATAGTTTATTATAGCCTCATTTGATTCTTGGTGCTTTTAGGGCTGAAGACTGTATGAGTTCGTTTGTTACAGAGTCTTTGTGTGCTGGCTTTCTTAGCTGCTCATTGTATTAGTTATGTACTTGATGTGTGGGCAAGTTCACTGTCTCCTATGGGGTTGGAAAAGCAAGGATCTCTTGAAGCTTATTTCATTGCCCCATCGTATGCATTTTTAAAATTTTAATTAGTTTTTTCCTGTTATTTTATTTACTGAGTTAATGGTTCAAGTTTTAGGCCAATAGAGGATGTATCTCCGGGTAGGAATCAGTTGTTGCTAAAGCCAGTGGGTAGATGCAATACCCAATGGTGGGCAGGGATCCCAGCCTTGATGAAGGTGGCTGGGAGAGCTCTCCATTAGATGCACTGAAGTTTTAGCAGGGGGAAGGGTGGGAGCTACCTTAACTCCCCTGCCAGGCCAGTAGGAAATCTGTCTACCTCCCAGCCTCACTCCTGCCCCTGTGTTCTGGCTGTTCAGATCAGACAGGTACCTCTTTTTGTCTGTAAGAACATTGATATTCCAAGTAGAGAGGAATTATGACTCTGCCACTCATGCAATCCTGAACCTGGGGAGTGCTCCTCCTGTGGGGACATAATCACCCTGAAATGTTCCAGGAAGGCTGTCTATAGATGTGTCCTCGCTGAGTTCCTGTGGGAGGAGTCTCAGTTGTGTCTGCAGTTGTGGACAAGGCAGAAACAAGGGCCCCTTCTCCAAGACCCTTCATGTGCTGCCTGACTGTTGGGGTAGAGGTGCAGACTTTCTCCACTGAGCCCAGTGCTGCAATAGCATCTCTGCTATGAGAAACTTCCCACCAGCGGAAAGATCTGGGACTCAAGTCCTGCCATCCGGATTCTTTTGTCCCATGGCATGTTCCCTAGAAGTGGCATTCTCCCTCTTCCCCTAGTAGTAGGAGTTCCTGAGAGCCAGACTACAGTGATTGGTATTGCCTTTCTGGGGCTAGCCACCCAGTGGGGCTGCCACACTCTGGACTCGTACTGGGGATGTCTGCAAAGAATCCGGCTATGTGAACTGACTTTAAGTCTCCCAGCATTGGGAAGCAGCACCAGCTCTGATGGAGGTGGCAGGGGAGTGATGTAGACCCTGTGAGATTCCTTGGTTGTAGATAGGCTTAGTGTGCTGGCTTTTTCAAATGCTGGTTATAATCATAGTGAACTTGTCATGTGGACAGACTCAGGACCTCTGGTTAACCAGAGTACTGCAGGCAAAGTTGATAGCCGAAGTCACACAGCCATTTTCTTTTTCCTGGGCACAGAGTTATTCTACCTAGAGATGCTGTAATGGCCCGAGTTGATTGACCTCCAACAGAGGTGGCGCTTGAAAAGGGGCATCAGCTGGCACAGAGGCAGTGGGATTTGAGCTTGCCCTAAGTAGTCTGGGGTAAGTATTCTGGTTTCTCAGGTGATGGGTGGAGCTATAAAGCTCCCAAAAGTTTATGTCCTTTGTGTTAAGCTAGTAGGGCCAGTGGAGGGGCATGGCCAACTGCTACTCCATAACCCCTTTGTGAATTCTTCTGTGCAGCAGACTATTATACTCCCCTCTGGAACATTACCCCAGTGGCCTGAGAGCCACCGCCAACCCTCACAGGGGCCATGACTTGTCCCCATCAAGGAAAGTCAGAGCACAGACCCCCCTAACTTTGCCCCCACTTGGGGAAGCATTTTTTAGGCATAAAGCTACAAAAGAAAGATATAGCAGTTTTCAAGTCACACTTGACTTTTAGAGCACCATAGTAAAGAGGACCTCTTGTTAAAATACACCGTGGGCTTGATGAATTTCCTTATGAGCATAATCTGTGATATTCCAAATGTGCTCTTTATTGCTATTCTTGTCAATATTCTCTTCTTCCACAATTAACTGGTGTTACAGTCCCAATTTGTAAATGGCTTTGAGTGTTTTGAGCAGTTTTCTACCCTCACTTTCATAAATTGAGTGGAATCTTGCACTTTTTACATGTTCTGCTTTGGAATTTATTGTATTGTGTATACATTGCATTTTTGGTTGTTTATACTGCAAACCTGACTCCCAAAGACATTAACATGATATCTATCGAGTCAGTCTAGTACTAACTGGGGTGAAAAATTTCATTGGCTATTAACTTTATAAAAAGTTAGTTTATTACAGAATATTTTCATATTAGGATCATTTATGTCACTGCCCCACCTACAACACAAACTAACAAGAGAAGAACTGACAAGAACATCCTTCATATTGTGTTACTTTCCTGTTTACTGGAATGCTTTTTGTAGGTTGTTTTTGTATATTTCTAAACTTTATTTTTCTCCTTTTGGTGTCAATCAGTAAATCTGCTCTACTATTCAGTGTCTACATAGCTGTCTAATACACTTTTTTTTTTATCCTGGATGGTTGAGTTTGCTGGAATATTTTGAGACAATTAACATTTATAACATTTTAATCCAGCTATCTGAGCATTTAATATTCCTGTCTGGATTATTAAGGTTATCTTGATGATTATGAAGTGATTTTATTTTTCCAGTCCTCTAAGTTGATATATTAATTCTGAATTTATTCGTTTATAAAAAGAAGTCTTAATAAGCTCCAGATTACATTGTCCCACTAAACATAACCCATTTTCCTTTTCTGATATTCTTTGACTATTTTATTTTAAATTGAGGGTATAATTTTCTTCTGTCTTCATAAACTATGTGAATATCTTAAAAATGACATCTAGTAAAGAATATTCTTGTATCTCAGATAGCTTATGTATTATATATAATCTTTAATTTTGCGAGATACAGACCTTTATAGAGTGTGTTGAAGGGAAGAGTGTATGAACTACTTGCAATCTCTTCCTTGACTATTTTTTAGTTCTTAAAATAATTATACCTACCTATATTCCTGAGGCAATATTTTTTATTTTACTTTTTCTTTTGAATGGAATTCAGTATGTATTTTTATGGCAAAAATGTGCTTTCATAGAAAGTAACTTTCATATTTAGAATAAAATATATTTGTATGTATATTATGTATTTATATAAATGTATATCAAAGGTAAATGACAGTAATGATTCATCAGGTATTAAAAAAGTAAAGTAAAATTTAAATGATCAAATTTCACTAGTGTAATATTAGGACTGGTTAATATTTTTTCTTGAACATAATGATTTAGAAATGAAAATTTGTGATTATTACTTGATTACATTAAAATAGTCTTAAAGATATTTCTGTCCACATTGCCATGTTTTTAAAAATGCCAATGAAATAAGCTATCAAAAATTATAATAAAATATTCTATACTATTAAGTTATATCAATTTCCCAATTATTACAAAATAAAACGTATTGTTCTGAATGTAACGAAGAGGAGATATTTCATACTTAAATTCTGAATCCAGCTGTTTTACACTATGAAATATTAATTGCATGATCTTAAGGATAAGAACCTCTTTTATAGTACTTCTGTAAGAGAAATAAATTGGTCATAATTGTATTTCATTTTCTTGATTGAATAGATACATAGAATAAAATGCACTGCAGTCTTCTGACAATCACATCCTGAGACTCTGCTTAAATAGCTCTATTATAATCTTACAGCATTTTTAGTCATTTAAATACAAGTTTAGTTCTGTTGTAGCCTTCAGATATTTTGCACCAAGATATTTAACTTTGTAGCCTTCAGATATTTTGCAGCAAGATGTTTAACTGGGAAAACCCTTAGTTATTCATATTCAGATTTAAATTATTTCACTTACAACCATAGCTAAATATTTAAAACTGCAATGTCCCACTAAAACATAGCTGTTATAAATATTATAATTATCATCATAATAGAACTGACAGGAACCACTATCATTTATCTTACATTTCAATACTTCAGGTTATATGATTCAGTATGAAAGTATTGAGATAGATTTTTAAATTCTAAAACCAACTAACCTACCTTTCCTTTCTTCTTTGGTTCCTTCTACCCTTCCTAATTTTCTCTAGAGAACTAAAATGAATGTCATGTGGCTAAGAAAACTCATGAAATGTTTTCTCTGTATTGTATGTAAATCATTGTTACTCTCCAGTATGTATAGTATTTTAATCTATATAGTCCAGAGCATATTAAAATTGGGAATTTTTTTTTTTTGTGGAGCAAGATGACCAAATGGAAACCTCCACTGACTTGTCTACACAAAAAAGCACCTACATACGAACTGAAAATCAGGTTAACCATCCTAGTACGTGGTTTTAACTTTATATTGCTAAAAGAGGCACTGAAGATGGTAGGAAAGAAAGTCTTGAATTGCTGATGCCACCCCTCCCCCATTCTCTGACAGTAGCTGCACAGCACAGGAGAGAGAATCTGTGCTTCTGGGGGAGGGAGAGTGAGCAATCAGGATTTTGCACTGGAAGAACTCAGCTGGTACCCATGGAGGGAGCATTTAGACTAGCCCTAGCCAGAGAGAAATTGCCCATTCCTGGGGTTGGAACTTGAGTTTCGACAAGCCTCATCACCATTGGCTAAACTGTCTGGGGTCCTAAATAAACTTGAAAGGCTCACTAGGCCACAGGGACTACAAATCCTAGGCAAGTCTTAGTACTATGCTGTGCTTGGAGCAAGTGGACTTGGGGGCTATAAGGAGAGGCCTCTTCTGCTTGAGAAAAGCAGAGATATAAGAATAAAGGGGACTTTGTTTTGCATCTTAAGTAGCAGCTCTGCCACTGTGGGGTAGAGCACCAAGCCAACTCTTGGGGTCCCCAATTTTAGGCTTTGGCTTTTGGACAGCATTTCTAGGCCTACCCTGGGCCAGAGGGGAGCCCAGTGTTAGAAAGGGTAGTCTTAGGCCTGGCAGCATTTGCCACAAGCTGACTGAAGAGTACTTGGGCCTTACTTCAGTGAACATCAGTGGTACCCTGGCAGTACATTCCATGGGCCCTTGGTGGTAGTGGACACAGGGAGAATCTCCTGCTTGGGGAAAGAGGAATGAAGAGGGGGAAAGACTTTGTCATGTGGCTTGTATTCCAGCTCAGCCACAGTAGAACAGAGAACTAGGTAGATTCCTAAGGTTTCTGACTATAAGCACTGGCTCCTGGACAGCATCTCTGGACCCACCTGGGGCCTGGGGACCTTGCAACCCTTCAGAAAAGAACACAAATCTGGCTGGGTTCGCTACCTGCTGATTGTAGAGCCCTGGACCTTGAGCAAACATAGAGATAGGTAGTGGCTATAGCAGGCCTTGGAAAAGACCCAGTGCTATTCTGGCTTCGGGTCTGACCCAGCATAGTCCCAGTGGGGGTGACCACAGGGGTGCTTGTGTCACCCCTTCCCCAGCTGCAGGCAGCTGAGCACAGAGAGAAGGACTTCATTTGTTTGGGAGAAAGTAAGAACAAGAGTCTCTCCCTGGTCATCCAGATAATTCTTCCAGATCTTATCCCAAACTGTCAAGGTGGTACCTCTCTAAGTATGCAAGAACTACAACATAACTGGGCTTGGGTACCCCCTAATGCAGATATGGCTTCAGTGAACAAAACTTTAGACCATATGCCCAATTCTCTTCTAACACCTGGAAAACCTTCCCAAGAAGGGTAAGTACAAACAAGCACAGATTGCAAGGGAATAGAAACAAATAACCTACAATGGAGTTCTAGTACATCTGTCAGTAGACGCTTCCAAGGAAACCTTACAGGCCAGGAGATAGGAATATGGCATATTTAAAGTGATGAAGGAAAAAAACCTTTTACCCTAGAATAGTATATTCAGTTAAAATATTCCTCAAGCAAAAAGGAGAAATAAAGACTTTCTCAGACAAATAGAAGCTGAGAGATTTCATTAATACCAGATCTGTTGTACAAGAAATGCTAAAGGGAGTTCTTCAGTCTGAAAGAAAATAATGTTAATGAGCAATAAGGAATCATCTGAAGGTTCTCACTGGTAGTAATAAATATGCAGAAAAACACAGAATATTATAATGTTGTAATTGTGGTGTGTAAAGTACTCATATCTTAAGTAGAAAGATGAAAAGATGAAACAATCAAAAATAATAACTACAACAATTTCAGACATGGATAGTATAATAAAATAGAAACAATGATAAGTTAAAAAGTGGGAATACGAAGTTAAAGTGCAGAGTTTATATTAGTTTTCTTTTTGCTTATTAGTTTGTCTATGCAATCACTGTTGTCATCAGTTTAAAATAATGGGTTATACTATATTATTTGCAAGCCTCATGGTAATCTCAAATAAAAAAATAAAACAGATACACAAAAAATAAAAAACAAGAACTCAAAACATACCAGCAGAGAAAATCAACTTCACTAAAAGGGAGACAGAAAGGAAGAAAAGAAGGAAGTGGGACCACACAAAACATCAGAAAAATAAATAACAAAATGGCAGGAGTAAGTCCTTACTTATCAATGAGAACATTGAATGTAAATGGATTACATGCACCAATCAAAAAACAGAGTTGGTCAATGAATGAAAAAACAAGACCAAACGATCTGTTGCCTACAAGAAATGTACTTCACCTATAAAGACACACCTAGACAGAAAATAAAGGAATGTAAAAAGATACTCCATGGAAATGGAAACAAAAAAAAATAAGAGTAGCTACACTTACATCAGACAAAATAGATTTCTAAACAAAGACTACAAAAAGAGGCAAAGAGGGACATTATTTAATGATAAATGGGTCAATTCAGCAAGAGGATATAACAATTATAAATATACGTGCATTCAACACCAGAGTACCCAGATATGTAAGGCAGATGTTAGAGCTAAAGAGAGAGGTAGATCAATACAATAGCTGGAGACTTCAACACCCAACTTTCAGCATTGGACAGATTATCCAGTTGGAAAACTAGCAAAGAAACATTTAATCTGTATTTAGATTGAATAGACTTAATAGACTTTTACAGAACATTTCATGCAACAGCTGCAGAGTACATAGTCTTCTCCTTAGCACAGGGATCATTCTCAAGGATAGACCATATGTTAGGTCAAAAAACAAGTCTTAAAACATTTAATATAATTGAAATCATATGGATTATCTTCTTTGATCATGATTGAATAAAACTAGAAATAAATAACACAAGAAATTTTGAAAGATGTACAACACATGGAACTTAAATAGTTTGTTTCTGAGTGACTAGTGGGTCAATGAAGAGATTAACAAGGAAACTGAAAAATTTCTTGAAACAATTGATAATGAAAACAGCATACCAAAATCTATAGGCTACAGCAAAGGTAGTACAAAAAGGAATTTTATAGCTATAAGTATCTACATCAAAATAGAAGAAAAACTTCAAATAAACAACACAACAGTGCATCTTAAAGAACTGGAAAAGCAAAAGAAGTCTGAACCCAAAATTAGTAGAAGAAAAGAAATAATGAATATTAGAGCAGAAATAAATGAAATTGAAGAAAACAATACAAAAGATCAATGAAACAAAAAGTTGGTTTTGTAAAAAGATTAAAAAAAAACCTGACAAACCTTTAGCCTGACTAAGAAAACAGAAGAGGAAATCCAAATAAAACCAGAGATGAAAAAGGGGACATTACAATTGATACCGCAAAAATTCAAAGGATCATTAGAGGTTACTTTGAGGAACTATATGCTTATAAATTGGAAAACTGAGAAGAAATTGAGAAATCCCTAGACACATATAACCTACCAAGATTGACCTGTGAAGAAATCTAAAATCTGAGCAGACCAGAAACAAGTAATGAGATTGAAGCTCTAATGAAAGGGATCCAGAAAAGAAAAGCCCAAGACCCAATGGATTCACTGCTGAATTTTTCCAAACCTTTAAAGAGCTAATACCAGTCCCACTGCAACTACTCCAAATATTATAGGAAGTGGGAATACTTCCAAACTCATTCTGTAAGGCCAGCATTACCTCAATACCAAAACCAGATAAGCATCAGAAAAGGAAAACTACAGGTCAATATCATTGATAAACGTTGATTCGGAAATACTCAACAAATACTAGCAAACTGAATTCAGCAACACATTAAAAAGATCATTCATAATGACCAACTGGGATTTATTCCAGGGATGCAAGGATGATTCAACATATGCAAATTAGTCAATGTAATAAATTGACAAGATGAAGGACAAACACCATATGATCATTTCAATTGACACTGAAAAATCATTTGATAAAATAATAAAACTGTAAAAAATACTGGATATAGAAGGAACACACCTCAACATAATAAAATCCATATGTGATAGACCCAGAGCTAGTATCATACAGACTAGGGAAAAACTGAAAGACTTTCCTCTAAGATCTGGAACATGACATGGATGTTCACTTTCACCACTATTATTCAAAATAGTACTGGAAGTTCTAGATAGAGGAATCAGACTACTGTCTGATTGAAAGAAATAAAGAGCATTTAAATTGGATCATACTATCCCTGTTTGCAGATGATATGATCTTATATTTGGAAAAACCTAAAGACTTCAAAAATCTATTTGAACTGATAAACAACTTCTGTAAAGTTGTAGGATACAAAATCAATATATACAATTCAGTAGCATTTCTATGTGCCAACAGTGAACAATCTGAAAAAGAAATCAAGAAAGTAATTGCATTTATAATAGCTACAAATAAAATTAAATACTTAGGAATTAATGTAGCCAAAGACATGAAAGATCTCTTCAATGGAAACTATAAAATATTGATGAAAGAATTGGATAAGGACACAAGAAAATGGAAAGATATTCCATGTTCATGGATTGGAAAAATAAATTTTGTTAAAATGTCCATGGTACCCACATCAATCTACAGATTTAATACAATTCCTCTCGAAATACCTAGACATTTCTCTCAGAAATAGAAAAAAAATGCTAAAATTTATATGGAGCCACAAAAGGCTCTGAATAGGCAAAGCTCTACTGAACAAAAAGAAGAAGACTGGAGGAATCACATTACCTGACTTCAAATTATTATACAAAGCTATGGTAAACAAAACTGCATGGCACTGGTGCAAAAATCAGACATATAGATCAATGGAGCATAATTGAGAAACCAGAAATAAATCCATACATCTATGGTGAGCTCATTTTTGATAAAGCTGTGAAGAACATACACTGGGGAAAGGATAGTCTTTTCAATAAATGGTTCTGGGAAGACTGGATGTCCATATGCAGAAGAATGAAACTAGACTGCTATCTCTTACCATATACAAAAATCAAATAAAAGTGGGTTAAAGACTTAAATCTGAGATCTCAAACTGTGAAACTACTAAAATAAAACTTTGGGGAAACTCTTCAGGAAATTGAACTGGGCAAAGATTTTTTGAGTAATACTCCACCAAGCACAGGCAACTAAAGCAAAAGTGGACGAATGAGATCACAACAAGTTAAAAAGCATCTGCACAGCAAAGGAAACAATCAACAATGTAAAGAGACAACCCACAGAATGGGAGAAAATATTTGCAAACTGTCCATCTGACAAGGAATTAATAACCAGATTATATATGTATTAGTCCATTTTCACACTGCTATAAAGATACTACCTGAGACTGGACAATTTATATATATATATATATATATATATATATATATATATTTTTTTTTTTTTTTTTTTTTTTTTTTTAAAAGGAGGTTTAATTGACTCACAGTTCTAGATGACTCCGGAGGCTTCAGGAAGCTTACAATCATGGCAGAACGGAAGCAGGCACCTTTTTTACAAGGCAGGAGAGAGTGTGAGTGTGTGAGGAAGGAACTGTCAAACACTTATAAAACCATCAGATCTCATGAGAACTCACTGTCACGACAACAGCGTGGGGGAAACCACCCCTGTGATTCAATCACCTCCCACCAGGTCTCTCCCTGGACACATGAGGATTACAATTCAAGATGAGATTTGGATGGGGACACAGCCAAACCGTATCAATATAAGTAGCACAAACAGTTCTGTAGGAACAATCTATTAATCTGATTTTTAAATGGTCAAACGGTCTGAATAGACATTTGTCAAGACATGCAAATGGCAAACAGGTATATGAAAGGTGTTCAGTATCATTAATCATCAGAGAAATACAAATTAAAACTGCAAAGATATATCATCTCATGCCAGTTAAAATGGCTTTTATCCAAAAGGCAGACAATAACAAATGCAGACAAGGATGTGGAGAAAAGGAAACTCTCATGCGCTGTTGGTGGGAATGTAAATTAATACAACCACTATTGAGAACAATTTGGATGTTCCTCAAAAAACTAAAAATAGAGCTACCATATGACCTAGGTATCCCACTGCTAGGTATATTATTGAAATAAAAGAAATCAATATGTTAAAGAGATATGGACACTCCTATGTTTATTGCAGCACTCTTCATGATAGCCAAGATATGGAAGAAACCTTCACATTTATCAACTGATGAATAGATAAAGAAAGTGTGGTACATATACAGCATGGAGTACTATTCAGCCATAAAATGGCTCACGCCTGTAATCCCAGCACTTTGGGAGGCCAAGGAGGGTGGATCACCTGAGGTCAGGAGTTTGAGACCAGCCTGGACAACATGGTGAAACCTCGTCTCTACTAAAAATACAAAAATTCGCTGAGCATGGTGGCATGCGCCTGTAATCCCAGCTACTCGGGAGGCTGAGGCAGGAGAATCGCTTGAACCCAGGAGGCGGAGTTTGCAGTGAGCTGAGATTGTGCCAATGCACTCCAGCCTGGGTGACAGAGTGAGACTCTATCTCAAAAAAACAAACAAACAAACAAAAAAAAACAGAACTATGATATCCTGTCGTGTGTAGCAACATGGATGGAACTGGATGTCATTCTGTTAAGTGAAATTAGCCAGGCACAGAAAGACAAACTTTGCATGTTCTCACTTATTTGTGGGAGCTAAAGATTAAAACGTTTGTACTCATGGAGATACAGAGTAAAATGATGGTTACCAGAGGCTGGGGAGGGTAGTAGTGGGGGTGGATGGGAAGATGGGATAGTTAATGGGTACAGAAAAGTAGAATGAATGAATGAGATCTAGTATTTGACAGGCTAACAGGGTCATTATATTCAATAACAATTTAATCGCATGTTTAAAGATAATTGAAAGAATATAATTGTTTGTAACACAAAGGATCAGGGCTTGAGGTGATAGATACCTCATTTGCCCTGATGTAATTATTATACATTGTATGCCTGTATCAGAATACCTCATATAACCCATATATACCTACTATGTACCCACAAAAATAATTTTAAAAAACTGAAGTTTTAAATCAGAAACATTTTCTTTTAGAGACTTTATTTTGTGGATGTTAATGAAGTTTTGTGGTGAACTCACTAAAACCAAGTTGTATAGTTAATATAACATGCAAAATCACTTACTGTATGGCAGTATGTCTCGAACATATAAAACTTTGCCTCTTTATTGAAAAACACATTCTGAGGTCAATCTCAAAACCTGTGAAGAATTCTCCCTGCTTCACAAGCCAAACTAGTAGGGATAGTGATTTCCTCTTCTGCACCACACCAGAACAACATGAGTAAGAGTTCCAGGCACTTGAAAAACATAGAAGAAAGGAAGGGAAAGAAGCACCTGTGCATTCTTCCATTCTTTCAAGTGGTTACGTCTTGTCAACTATGTTGTGATAAGAGCAGAGAAGATAATTATTCAAGATATTTGCAATTATTCAAGATAATTTTGCATATTTGAGTAATGCAAATTTAAAAACTTTTTAAAAATTTAAAAACACTAATGCAAATTTAAAAACAAATTTTGCATATTTGAGTAATGCAAATTTAAAAACATCTGTAGGTGCATACTACTCATGTATGTTTGTGAGACATGAATTCAGTGATTCCAAGTCTTCAACATCATTTCATGTCCAAACTCCCTGTCTGTCCCATCCTCTGAGATTTGGGTAAAAAAGAATTTGTCTTGGGGTAGAGCTTTACCCAAACTTTAAGAAAGGACATTGGTTAAGGGCACAAGAGGCATCTCTTTAGTGGTAGATTCATGTCATCAGGTGTGGAAGTCATGGTGGAAAAAAAATAGAAAACTACCAGGGAGTTGTGGAATACTGGACTTTGGAAAAAATAGCTCATTAAAGACATACTGAATAACATTTTACATGCTGTGTGTGTCTTTTCTTATCACTTTGTCATTTTGTTTGCTTAAATACGTGTTATCTATCAGCTTTGCTGTTAAGAAAACTATGTCATGGAAAGGTAGTTGAATATTTAGTTTGTTACTATTGTTCAGTGGTCAAGTGAGAACTCCAGTAAAGTTTTTAGAATTTAAAACTAGAATTGGGTATGAATAAGAGGAGCAAAATATATACATATAATGTTTCTTTTAATATTTTAGATATGTCTACGAGATCCAAAGTATATTTTTTATACCTTACTTTATTACAATTACAAAGTCTGTATTTTTCTTTTGCAAAATTTGCACTTGACCATCTTGGTCCCAGAATATCATACTTTCAGAATTTTCTAATGTTCTTAATATTATGCTTTATATTATATCACACAATTACTGAATAAATTAGGTGAATTCAAATTTTAAATGGATACATTAAACATATCAAAAGGAAAAGATCAAATTAGAAATAGTTTTAGAATGAAAGATTGGGCTTACACTGTCTTGCTGTAAGATAAATATTTCTGCATAGCACATGTGAAGTAATTAAGACACAGCAGAAATATCCTAAGCAGTGTAAAAGCACTAAAAATGGGAAATTGGTAATCACTTTCTATGAGCAAATGAAATTACTTACAATACCAATTCCCTTCCATTGTAATCTCTTTCTAACTTTATCGTACTTGGAAAATTGCTATGGTGACAAAGAAGTTTTTATTTTCCCTGGGTAGATAGAAATTCATTGGAAGACTTTATAAGTAGCCAGAACATGGTCTCATAATCAGTTAGCAGATTTGTATCCTCGACTACTACTTGTATTCTGTAAATAAACATCTTTTGACTAGCAAGCTGGATTAAGAATGAGTTTTCAAACATGCAGTCACATAAGTGTGACTTTTAAGTCAATGTGTCTTTTAAGCAATTATAATTTCACGTATCTTATGATTAGTTTCATATACATAAGGATTCATAGTAGAGGAGAATAATAAATACAAATGTGAAAATAAAAGGGGCATACTGAAGAGGTTAATTTTGTTAAAATGTGATAATCGTAAGCCTAATTTATAAAAAAATGTTCAGAATGTCATCACCTTGCTAATGAAATAAAACTTTTGGTGATAACATTTTAGCAAGGCTGACTGTGTAATTTACAGTGTCCAGTGAAAAAAGAAAACGTAGTGCCCCTTCGACAAAAATTTTAAGTTGGTGACAACAGAGAGTTTACCAAGAAGAAGGCCCTGTGTGGTTGCATAGATTGTATATTCATGAAGCAGATCTTGCTTGTTAGTCTAAATTTGCTATTAGAAAAGTTTTGAATACAGTAGATAAAATATCTGGGGAATATGCTTGGTTGTCACTCAGGAGTGTTTATACAAGTGTGATCAAAATTATAAGTAACATCAGGAAATTGATTATACAAGCATATTCACTATACAAGTGATGTCAAAATGATCTGTAAGGTTAACGAAATTCAGCAAAAGTGTTAATGAAATATCAATAGACCTTTGTGAAATATAAATTAAAATTAGTAATCTAAATTTTATATACTGAAATGAAGTGTGAGATGTATGCCTAATTTACAGAGAGCATTAAAAGTTTGGGAGAAGAGTATGATCTCCCATGAGTGGTCTTTACAATGTCTTAAACATAAGGCTATATCTTTAATAATTCTGTTGCCTTCTAGCCCACAACCTGACATATCTTGATATTTGATGAGTCTCAATGAGAAAACCATTTTGTGTGTGTGTCTCCTGGAATCTTTATTACTCTAGCAGGAAAGACTTGAACACTGTTTTCTTTCTTTCTTTCTTTCTTTCTTTCTTTCTTTCTTTCTTTCTTTCTTTCTTTCTTTCTTTCTTTCCTTCCTTCCTTCCTTCCTTCCTTCCTTCCTTCCTTCCTTCCTTCCTTCCTTCCTTTCTTTCTTTTTCTTTCTTTCTTTCTTTCTTCTTTCTTTCTTTTTTTTTTTTTTTGGAAACGGAGTCTCACTCTGTTGCCCAGGCTGGAGTGCAGTGGCACGATCTCTGCTCACTGCAACCTTCACCTCCTGGATTCAAGCGATTCTCCTGCTTCAGCCTCCTGAGTAGCTGGGATTACAATAAGTGCCACCATGCCCAGCTAACTTTTGTATTTTTAGTAGAGATGGGGTTTCACCATGTTGGTCAGGCTGGTCTCGAAATCCTGGCCTCAGTTGATCCACCTGCCTTGCCCACCCAAAGTGCTGGGATTATAGGCGTGAGCCACTGTGCCTGGCCTTGAGTTTTCTAATGCATAATGCACTGAAGAGTTCTCTTTCATAAATTCAGAACTGAGGAAGAGGAGAAAGAAGACAGAACAACAGAGCTGTTATTGAAAAATAGACGTCTTGGTTTCTTTTAACAGTGTTTTGTCATTCTCCTTGTGGAGATATTTCACCTCCTTGGTTAGATGCATTTCTAGGTATTTAATGTTTTGTTTTTTTTGTATGTGGCTATTGTAAATGAGATTGTGTTCTTGACTTGACTCTCAGCTAGAATGTTATTGGTGTATAGGAATGCTAGTGTTTTTTATACATTGGTTTTGCATCCTGAAACATTACTGAAGTCATTTTCAGTTCTAGGAGATTTTTGGCAGAGTCTTTAGAGTTTTCTAGGTATAGAATCATATTGTCTGTGAAGACAGATAGTTTGACTTATTTGGATGCCTTTTTTTTTTCTCTTGCCTGGCTGCTCTCACTGTGACTTCCAGAACTATGTTAAATACGAGTGGTTAGAGTGGGCATTCCTGTCTAGGCAACACAAATAAATGGAAACCATTCCATGCTCATGGATTGGGAGAATTAATATAGTTAAAATGGTCATACTGCCCAGAGCAATTTATGGACTTAATGCATTTCCAAACTACCAATGTCATTTTTTAACAGAAGTAGAGAAAACTATTCTGAAATTCACATGAAGTTAAAAGAGAGCCTGAATAGGCAAAGCAATCCTAAGCAAAAAGAACAAAGCCAGAGGCCACACATTACCTGTCTTCAAACTATACTACAAGGCTATAGTATAGTTTGTATAGTATAGTAACCAAAACAGCATGGTACTAGTACGAAAACAGACACATAGGTCAATGGAACAAAATAGAGAAGGCAGAAATAAAGCCAAATATCTACAACCATCTGATCTTAAACAAACTCAACAAAAATTAAGCAATGAGGAAAAGACTTCTTATTCAATAAATGGTGCTGGGATAAAGGGCTATCCATATGCAGAAGAATGCAACTGGATCCCTACCTATCACCATATATGAAAGTTAACACAAGATGGATTAAAGACTTAAACATAAGCCCTCAAAATAAAAAAAAATCCTAGAAGAAAGCCTAGGAAGTGCTCTTCTCAATATCAGCCTTGGCAATAATTTATGACTAAGTCCTCAAAAGGCAATTGCAACAACAGCAAAAAAATTGACAAGTGAGGCCTAATTAAAGTAAAGAGCTTCTGCACAGCAAGAGAAACTATTAAAGGAGTAAACAGACAGCCCATAGAGTGGGAGAAAATATTTGCAAACTCTGCATTTGACAAAGATCTAATATCCAGATTCTATAAGGAACTTAATTCAGCAAGCAAAATTCAAAAACCCCCATTAAAAAGGGGGCAAAGAACATGAAAGACACTTCTCAAGAGAAGACTTACAATGGACCCACAAGCTTATGAAAAAATGCTCATCATCATCAATCATTAGAGAAATGCAAATCAAAATCACAGTGAGATACCATCTCACACCAATCAGAATGGCTTCTGTTGAAAAGTCAAAAAATGGCAGATGTTGATGAAGATGCAGAGAAAAGGGGACACATACACTATTGGTGGGAATGCAAATTCGTCCAGCCACTGTGGAGAGCAATTTGGAGATTACTCAAAGTACTAAGTGTTGAACTACCATTCAACCCAGCAATCCCATTACTGGGTATATACTTAGAGAAAAATAAATCATTCTACCAAAATGACACAAGTACCCATATGTTCACGCAATGCTATTCATAATACAAAAAACATAGAATCATCCCTGGGGCCCATCAAAGGTGGATTGGATAAAGAAAATGTGGTCCATATACACCATGGAATACTATGCAGCCATAAAAATAATGAAATCAGTCCTTTGCAGCAACATGGGTACAGCTGAAGGCCATTATCCTAAGTGAACTAACCCAGAAACAGAAAACCAAATACTTCATGTTATTACTTACCGGTGAGAGTTTAACATTGGGCACACATGGACATAAAGATGGGAACAATAGACATTGAGGACCACTAGAAAAAGGGGGGATGGAAGGGGGCAAGGGCTGAAAAGTTTCCTCTTGGGTACTATGCTCACTACCTGGGTCACAGGTTCATTCATACCTCAAGCCTCAACATTACACATTATTTACCTTTGGAACAAACCTGCACATATACCCCCTGATTCTAAAATAAAAGTTGAAAAAAATGGAGTTGATAAGATATAGGTCAAACAAGTGAAAGTTTGCTCTCTTTCATTGGTTGTTGGCAAAACATTGTCTAATCAGGGCATATTTAATGACCCTAGGGTTTTTCCATAAGCGTAGGTTTATACCTGGGAAAGTCCAGGTTATGGTGGAAAATACATAGCATATAAGCTGCCAATTTTTCCTTTATTGCCCATGTTTTACATTATATTCTATAATGGCACTTTTTTCCTGCTGAACTTGAATAGACATCATAAATATTTTCAGTACTTCACTCTACGTAGCTCCACTAATTAAAGTTGGACTTGAGATAAAATCTGTTTCCTATATTGGGCATGGTGTAATCTAGTAATTTCTGGAATGTATAAAACTTAATTAATATACAGATATACGGACACTTGTATTCTGCTGGAGTCTTGCATTCTGAAATTCTTGGAAAATAGACTGTATGCACATAGTTTTATCTGGGTGGTGTTGGAATTAGGGGAGATAAGAATAAGAATATGGATTATAAGCCAATCCACTATATGGATGTGTGGAATTTAAATCTAAGAGCTTATAAAATTTATTATATTCTGAAAGAGGTAGCCACATAGAAATGCTGCAGAGTAAGCAATAGCAGACTTCTAGGAAGGTGCTGGAATTCCCAAGATGAGATAAAGAATTGGGCTAGGAATTGAATGAAAGATTTAGTGTACTACCTCTGGTATTTGCACAATGAAGCCAACTCAGATAAACTCTTTTTCTGCTTCTCGCTGCACTGTTTTCCAGCATTTTTTTCTCATTGTGTGCAAGTAGCTAGGACATAGCAGGATATACCAGATAAAAGAAATGGTCTAGTATCCAGAGAGCCTTACAGTCATACCTACTGACCGACCTCCCATTTCCAATGATTAGAATTGTAATCCGTATGCTGTTATAGGATAAAATGTTTTAGCACTACCCTCTAGATGTGATTTTCTATTTGAACTAGCTGTGGCCTGTATTAATGTATGGTATGAATGAAAATTGTATATTTTGAAACACAAGTAGATGGCTTGTGAATGCTAGTTAAATATTAAGAGCATACTGGGGGACTAATCTTTGACATTTTCTCTGCCAAGACAACCCAAGCAAAGAATATTTAATTCTCATGCTTTATAAAAATGATAGGAGTTAAGGGATCTCGTTTTAAGTAAATTTATATCAAAGAAGGAGATAAATATCCTTCAGAGGCCCATGTTAATAAAATATGAAGTTATGAGGAGTTTGTTGAATACTATAAAGAAAAAACAAATTCCAACAAGTTGGTAAGAGGCAAATAACAAACTAATGAATCTGATTAAAGTCTTTTCCATATCTGATTTCAAGAACCTATAGACTGAAGTAGTAAAGTCACTACAGTATTCCAAATCTGGTAGACAAACTGTAATGATGAATTTTTGGGCACCCAGAAAATATTTCCCTGAACAAATCATGAAGTCACCCTATCCCTTTCTCCCTCCCTTCCTTCTTCTCTCCCTTCCTCTCTCTCTTCATTCATTTCTCCCTTCCCTCCCTCCTTCCATCTCCTGTTTTTTTCTTCTTCTTCTTCTTTTTAAATCACAAGGACTCACTGAACCCAGAGATAAGCATTGTCACAGCTCTGGATAGTAAGGAGGAAAGGGAATTGCAGGACTGTGCTGTTTCATCTTACATGACAAATGGATCCCCAATAAATAGGCCTCTATTTTAATAATTAAATTGTATGGTGTTTGATTGATTGAACTCAGAAAAGATAACCAAGAATGTGGAAAGTAGAAATCAAGAGTCTATAAATCAGATCTAACGTAGGTCTTTGATTATACATGCATATAAATTCTCCAACTCTCCTCTTTCAGTGAGAGTTGCCAGAGTGTTTCCTTGTCAGTTTAAAAAATTAGAATAAGAAAGCCCAGAATGTGCTGACACTTGAGGAGGAGAAGGTCTTTAATCTAAATATTTTATCACATTGGTTAAAGAACCATTGGAACACTTCCAATAATAGAGTCGTATTTCAGCTTAGATTATTATTTTAGTAGTTCCATTCCTTTTGCCTTGTAAATCACGTGGTCACATTACACAGCCCAATGTTAATTCATATATAAAGTTATTTGAAATTAAATAGGCCAAAAACATTTGAAATCATACTGACATTTTCATACATCCATACTATTTTCCAACTTCAAAAGTATTTTAAACACAATGGTCTCATTTTGGTTACTAGACAAATCTAGCCTTGTTGTAGTGTGGATGTTAAGAATTTCTTAGCCATAAAAAAGAATGAGATAATGTCCTTTGCAGCAATAGGGATGGAGCTGGAGGCCATTATCCTAAGAGAACTAATGCAAGAATAGAAAACTAAACGCCACGTGATCTCACTTATATGTGGGAGCTAAACACTGAGTACACATGCACACAAAGAAAGAAACAACAGACATTGGGGCCTATTTAAAGATGGAGGGTAGGACAGGGTTTTTCGTAGGGACAGGGTTTTTCCATGTTGCCAGGAAAGGCAAGGATTGAAAAACTACCTATTGGGAACTAT
This sequence comes from Homo sapiens, assembly GCF_000001405.40. Taxonomy (NCBI): domain Eukaryota; kingdom Metazoa; phylum Chordata; class Mammalia; order Primates; family Hominidae; genus Homo; species Homo sapiens. Next base: position 90,281,389 of record NC_000004.12, read on the forward strand.
GCTTATTACCTGGGTGATGAAATAATATGTACAGCAAACCCCCATGACATGCAGTTTATCTATAAAGTCAAGGTGCACATGTACCCCTGAAGCTAAAATAAAAGTTAAAAAAATAATTTTTTCCATATTTTATATATTCTGTAAAGAGTGTGGATTTGAGTTATATAGTTTCCCAGCCTGTCCAGGCCCAGGTGACGTTCTTTGTTCATTGCTTAATAAGAAAATAAAGGTGAAACTATTACCATATGTAGTAAAGTGATTCATAGGAATGAATTACTGCCATTCTCAAGTCTATTTTTATCTGTATTAGCTTTTTCTTTATGGTGTTGGAAAGTCTGAAAACCGTAATTAGTAACCAGTACTTTAAAAAGATATCTATAGATTTTGTACTCATTTACATTTGCAATTACTTTATTATCCTGGACTTTCAGACTTGAACATGAGCAAAATTGTGTTAACTAAGACAGCATTAGTTTATTTATTCAATGAATAAAAATCCAACTTGAGTCACCATGGGAATACCCGTGATTGACTTGCCTATTTGGCTGCATTTCACTCTCACACATTGTGATGGGATAAAAACACTATATTTTCTAAACTGAATTTTCAAAAAGGCACTAAGGATGACTGAGCAAAGCATTCTGTTATCAATAGCGCTGTACTCAGATACCAGCATGTGAAATCTACATTTATGTCTGCAATTTTGGAGAACTAAGAACCATATGGTATCTTGGTTTTATACTTCCTGAATCAGCTTAATTGCATCTGCATACCAATTAAACTTGAATAAATATGTTTGAGTGCTTTTTAGTTGTTGATATTTTGTTATAAAGCTTTTACTCCAATTTGACTAAAAGCATTTTTAACTGCACTTGGTTTATAAATGGGTTATCATTTTATATTAATACACATCATATACCATGTTATTTCTTTTTATGATAAAAGCACTGTTTGGCGTATCCATATTTCTTAGCAAGTGTTAAGTAAAAGTGATATAGAAAGTATCTAATCCATCTGTGAATCAAGTTAAATTATATATATTTATGTATATATTTATATATGTATACATATATTATTGTTATTGTTGCTGTTAATTTCTATAATGCAATCTAGAACATGAATGAACTTTTAACTTGTTGACACTGTTTCTAGAGCATTTTGAGTGGTTAAATAAATGTAAGTATAAATATAGAACTAAACTTGAGGCTTATATACATTGAAATAATTGATGTTTCAGATGCTGCTCATCTCATCTTACCCAAATTACTGTACCAGCAGACTTTGGTTACAAATCACTGAATACTATTGGTTAAAGAAAGTCATATACATATACCTGTCCTCATTAGGTTACTATAGAGGCTGCAATCCTTATGAGCTTTTTGGTTAAGACTCTTTAAAGGAGTTGCATCATTTATGGAGGACCTTTATTGGTCACTGTATTTCACAAGAGTCAGATTAAGGTCCATTACTCTGTTCAATCTACTCTTAGATCCGTTTGATGCTGATGAGAGTTTTCTATCCAGGGTAAAGGGATAGGTGAGTACTAAGTGATCAAAGTCACATCAAAGCATTTGGTATAAGGAAACAAAATGATTGTGATACTGCATTAATGGAAGGTTGCTTTCTCATGCTTTGAAAATAAACGGCTTTGCTTTACCTGAATATTTATTTCCAGTATATTTCTTCCTTGCAATCTACTACATGAAACAGAGGGGGACCGTTATCTAGTGATAACATGTTTTTCTAGTTACATTATATGTTAAGCAAACTCCTTGGTTATTCATATTTCTAATAGAAACGCTAATATTTCATGGTATTTTGTGATTTAACACCATCCCCGATCCCATGCACCATTTTGAATGATTATGTGGCATTGTATACCACTAAGTATTCTATTAAATAGAATTTATAATATTCAAGTTAAGTATATTTTATTTTTTATTTGTATTTTTATTATACATGTTTTTAAATTGTTATGGATACCTAACAGTTGCACATATTTATGGGGTACATGTGATATTTTGATACAAGCATATAGCATGCAATGATCAAATCAGGATAATTGGAAAAATATCAGGATAATTAGGATATCCATAATATTAAAGATCTATCATTTCATGTTAAGAACATTACAGTTCCACTCTTCTAGTAATTTTAAAATATACAATAAAATGTTTTTAACTGTAGTCACCTTATTGTGCTATTGAACATTAGATCTTATTCCTTATATCTAACTGCATTTTTGTACTCATCGAGCAATCCCTCTTTATCTCTGCCTCCTTATGGTTGAATAATATTCCATTGTGTATATGGATCACATTTTCTCTATCCATTCATATGTTGATGGACACTTAGGTTGATTCCATATCTTGGCTCTTGTGAATAGGGCTGCAGTAAGCATGGAAATGTATATCTCTTTTCGTTGTATTGATTTCCTTTCTTTTGGATGTACACCCAGCAGTGGGATTGCTGGGTCACATGGTAGCTCTTTTTTTAGTTTTTTGAGAAACCTCCATAATATTCTCCACAGTAGCTATATTAATTTACATTCCCACTGTGTATAAGGGTTCCCCTTTCTCCACATCCTCACCAGCATCAGTTATTTCCTGTCTTTAGGATAAAAACCATTTTAACTGGGATGAGATGATATCTCATTGTATTTTTGATTTGCATTTCTCTTATTAGTGATGTTGAGCAATTTTCATATACCAGTAGGCCATTTTAATGTCTTTTTCTGAGAAATGTCTGTTCATTTGCTGATTTTTATTGTATTATTTTTCTTATTACATTTTTGCTATTGATTTATTTGAGTTCCTTATGTATTCTGATTATTAGTCCCTTGTCATATGGGTAGTTTGCAAATATATTCTCCCACTATGTGGGTTGTCCCTTCACTTTGTTGATTATTTTCTTTGCTATGCACAAGCAAGCTTTTTTAGTTGACGTGATATCTTTTGTACATTTTTGCTTTATTTGCCAGTGCTTTTGTGATCTTACTCAAGAAATATTTGCCCAGACACATGTCCTGGATTGTTTCCCCAATGTTTTATTTTAGTAGTTTTATAGTTTCAGGTATTAGGTTTGTCTTCAGTCTACTTTGAATTGATTTTTTTTTTTTTTTTTGAGACAGGGGCTTGTTCTGTCACTTAGGCTGGAGTACAGTGGTGCAATCATGGCTCACTGCAACCTCAGCCTCCTGGGCTTAAGCCATCCTCCCATCTTAGCTTCTGGAGTAGCTGGGACCACAGGCATGTGCCACCATGCCTGCCTAATTTTTGTATTTTTCATAGAGACAGGGTTTTTCCATGTTGCCAGGCTGGTCTTGAACTGCTGAGCTCAAGCAATCTGCCCACCTTGGCCTCCCAAAATGCTGGGATTACAGGCATGAGCCACTGTGCCTGGCCTTGAGTTGATTTTTGTATATGGAGAGAGATATGGGTCTAGTTTTATTCTTCTGCATATGGATATCCAGTTTTCCCAGCACCATTTATTGAAGAGACAGACTGTCCTTTCCCCAAGGTATATCCTTGGCAACTTTGTCAAAAATGAGTTTACTCTAGATGTATGGATTTGTTTCTGGGTTCTCTATTCTGTTCAATTGGTCTACATGTTTGTTTTTATGCTAGTATCATGCTGTTTTGGGGGTTATTGTAGCTCTTGTTTCAAAGTTATTAATTTGAAGTCAGGTAATGCAATTGCTCCAGTTTTGTTCTCTTTGCTCAGAATTGCTTTGGCTATTCTGGGTTGTTTGTGGTTCAATATAAATTTTAATTTTTTTCTATTTTTGTGAAGAATGTCATTGGTGTTTTGATACAGATTGCCTTGAATCTGTAGAATTCTTCAAGTAATATGGGCATTTTAACAATATTGATTCTTCTAATTCATGAACATGGAATATCTTTCCATTTTGTGCATATCTTCTTCAATTTCTTTCATCAATGTTTTATAGTTTCCATTGTAGATATCTTTCACTTGTAAAGTTTACTTGTAGGTATTTAATTTTACTTCTAGTTATTGTAAATGGGATTACTTTCTTAGTTTCTTTTTCAAATTGTTCACTGTTGGTGAATAGAAATGGTACTGATTTTTGTATGTTGTTTTTGTATCCTGTAACTTTACTGAATTTGTCTGTGAGTTATAATAGTTTTCTGGTTAAGTCTTTCAGTTTTTCTAAATATAAGATCATATTATCTGCAATCAAAGATAAGTTGACTTCTTCCTTTCCAATATGGTTGCCCTTTATTTATTCAGCTTGTCTAATTGCTCTGGCTAGGGTTTCCAGTACTATATTTAATAAAAGTGATGAAAGCATACATCCTTGTCTTTTCTATATTATAGAGGAAGGGCTTTTAGTTTTTTCCCATTTAATACATAGCTAGTTGTGGATTTGTCATATATGGCCTTTTATCATGTTGAGGTATGTTCCTTTCACACTGTTGAGAGCTTTTATCATGAAGGGATGTTGAATTATATTAAATGATTTTTTTGGCACTTATTGAAATGATCATGTGTTTTTGTCCTTCATTCTGTTGATGTGATTTATTGCCTTTATTGAGTTGAGTATATTGAAGCATCCTTGCATTCCTGAGATGAATCCCACTTGATCATGATGAATGATCTATTTAATGTGTTCTGAAATTCAGTTTGCCAGTATTTTCTTGAGGATTTCTGTATCTATGTTCACTAGAGATATCGGCCTGCATTTTTCTTTTTTTGTCATGTCATTGTCTGGTTTTGGTATTGGGGTAATACTGGCCCCATGGAATGAGTTTGGAAATAGCCTCTCCTCCTCAACTTTTTTGGAATAGTTTAAACAGTTTATATTTGTTCTTCTTTAAATGTTTGGTAGAAGTTAGCAGTAAAGCTATCAGGTCCTGGGCTTTTTTTCATTGGGAGACTTCCTAGTACTGTTTCTCTTTCACTACCTGTTATTGTATACATTTTAGAAATATTTTGCAATTTTATTGTTTGTAAAAGAAAGTGAAGCAGACTATGATTTCACATAAGGTGACAATTTCAATAAAGCAGAAGAACAGTTTAGTTCATTAAAAATTTTATAGAATTATTTGGATAGTTTGTGCCACTTACACAGTTTATTGATGGGGATGCTTTTTTATAAAAATTATTTTTCATAAAGGTTAATATAACATAAATAAAAAAATGACTTGACTCACAACTTAAAATGTGATTTCTTATGCAAAGTGAAATTTTGAAGCTTTAAATAATTTAATTTTACTGAACATTTGTAACAGATACATTTTCTCAGTCTTGGACAGGGCTAGTGTTGGCTTAGAAAAATTCATACACTTAACATTCTATATTTATTTTGCATTTTCCTTTATGCCTAATGCAGATCTCCCATGTAGTAGTAGAATTTTAATAAAGTTTGTTAAGTCATTAACTTATAAACAGATTTTACATTCTTTGGAAATATCACTGTTCTTTGGAAACTTCACCCTGTGGCCTGTCTTCATGACTTGATTTCTTAAACTGCTACAAAGAGGTGTTCTTTCTCTGTCTGCATGGCCTCAAGTGAATTAATCATTGCAGAATGGAGAGAGACATTTTGAAGAAAAATAATGTAGTGTGATTAGACACATTTGCCTCAGGTTGCTGCAGCCAGAGTGTGTTGTGGTGGTAATTTACTAAATGGTACCCTGGTGGTATGAATGAGTTTTTAGGTTTTATGACTGCTTTACTTTTTTCCAAGAAGCGATTTACACATAGGACTTTGCTACTGCTCCTAAAAGAAGCAATAGAATCATTGATCTGAAATTCAAAAAAGCATCACCTTGGGTTCTTACATTAATAATTAAAAAAAAACCCTACAAAATAGGGTCAGCCAAAATCAGAAGCATTTAATGCTATAAAATTATTATTTAGAAGTAAAATGTATAAGTTACTTTATAGTGATATAGTAAATATTGCTATTTTAAATAGCCAATGATTGAAACTACCTACATGTTTTATAATAGGAGAAACCTTAAGTAATTTGTGGTAACTCCTTTTAAGAAATCCTATCTGTTAAAACTTTCATGAAGAGTTGATAATATGTATGAAATTCTTTAGCAGGATACAACATTGCATAGGCACTTTATCTCGGTGACTCCTCACTGTTCTGCATTATTTCCATGTTACATGAGTCTCATCAGAGTTTTCACAAAGCCATTCAAGATGAGGACATAGTTCTGATAAGAACATGTTTCATTCAACATAATGCCATGTAAAGGATTCCTGCATTTAAAAATAAACTAACATAGTAGATTCATGAGATTAGACGTTTTCCATTTTTTATATTCTTCATGTCCCCCAAAATTTCCAACTTTGATATTAGAAATGAATTTATTTTTAAAGAGTCTATTTTAGGAACATTTTGCTTTAAATATGAAAAAGAAATTACTTACAAGTAAATATTTAATCTAATTTGAAACTTTATGTATTTATGTTTCATTTTTCTATTCCATCCTGACTTTTCCATTGTGATTGTGATTTTGAGTAGTATTTCTTCTCCCAGTTAAAACAAATAGCAAAACAACAAACCAACAACTTTAAACAAACAAAAACCAACTGAACAACAACAAAAAAAACCCTGGGCATTTTTTTATTCTTTTCTTTCTCTCATCCCTCTATCAATAAACAATTATTACTAGTGTTACCCACAAGATTACCAAGTTTGTTATCTTGTTTATCTGTACCATGCTATTTAAGCGAGAATGTCGTTATCTCTCCTTTGGATTATTGCAATAGAATCCTAACTGGGTGGCTAGTTTTGGCAATCAATCCTGTACAAAGAGGCTATCTCTCTTAATTTAGCTCCCTACAAGGATCTGGACCTCTAAGTTCCTGACACTTCATCTCAAATAGTTATTCCCTTTACTCACACTGCTACTTGGAATGATCAGGCCTGCCCCAGGGAGTTTGCACTTGATTCTGCCTCTGCTGGAAGTGTTCTTCTCACTCTTCTTCATTCAGCTCAAATATCACCACCTCCATACTTGTCTTCTTCATTATTTATCTCATTACAGTAATTATTTTTGTAAGACATACATCACTGTTAAAGATCATCTAATATGCTTATTTGTTTTGTTTATATTCTGTCTCCCTCATTGGAGTAGATACTCCTCCAGAAAAGGGACTAGCCCCTCTAATTCCCTTCTGAATCCTCTGTGCCTGGAGGAGAATATGTTTCCTGTTTTTGAATTATTTGAGAATTCACTTAGTATTTTGTGCTAGAAGAGTGGTATTCAGACTGTAGTATAATAATCAGGGTGTAAAGGACACCCCTGCCCTACATAGGCATGGATACCTTTTAGATAACTAATTTCTCAATTCTCAATTTTTATTTGTGATTTTCCATACAAATTACTTGTTTGAGAAGCTTCTGAGTTTTGTCAGTCATCTTCCTCATGTTTCTTTCACAATCTCCCACTTTACAAAAAAACAAGCAAATTTATGAATTCAGATTCACTTGTGAATCTGTTTAGGATGCATTGTTCAGTTTCTAAAAACCTCTAGTGTATCAACCAAGGGATAAATTACTCAGGGAGTCTTTTGAGGGCTTCCTAAATAAATATTGGAAGGTGCAGTGCCCTGTTTCCTAGAGGCAATATTCTGGTGAGCCATTCTCCCCTTTCCTTCCTCCTCTCCTCCTCTCTCCCTTTGGATTCCAGAAGTGAGAAAGTAAGAATGTTGCTGTGGGGTATTAACAGGTTTACTTGATGCTTTCTTCTGAAGAAGAATTTTGACTGGATGATTTGTTTGACAAAGAGGATTGCTTTGCCAAGTGCATTGTGACACACATTTGCATATATTTTTCTTAAATCAAATAAGCTAAATATGTGGCTTGACAGTATTGATGAAAATATATTTTAAGCCCACTTAGAGCATATAACAGTCAGAAAAATATGTCCTTTTACCTTATAGGAAATTTGTTAATGGTTAACTTTTAGGTCTTCTAGAGATTATGTAGATTTTCAAAGTTATTTTAGTAAAAAGATAATTTGAAATTATTGTGCTAGACAATGTGAGCAACATCAAATTGTTCAAAATATCTCTGTATAAAGTACACTTGATATAGAAGAAAGTGAAAAAGAGAGTTCATCTTTCACATGGAATATAAGAGACCACTATCTTTCCTCATTTCCAGAGTATCTGTACACTCCTTTACCCTAATAAATTTTACAGGGATAGTATCTCTTTATTCAAATTTGTACAATCTTAATTTGTAGCTCACATAGATGCAAATAAGTTTATTAAGAAAACACAGTTCTGTAGAGGGTGCTGATTCAGTAGTTTTTCACAGTATTCAGTCAAGAATTTGATGTCTTAAACTCTTGACTAAATTAAAAAGGTTAAAACACTTTACCTAATTTTGTAATAAAAATAATGACATTTATCCTTTGCTTCCCTTTATGTTGAGCAGAGGTCTAAGCCCTCAACTTCTTTAGTCCTTATAATAGTTAAATTTCTTATGGTAGGTGCTATGTATGACTCAATTTCACACATTGTGAAATTGAAGCTCAAAGGGAGATTAAAATACTGTAGATTGCCCAAAGTTAGTGAGAGCAGAAACCAAAATCCAAACCTAGATAATATGTCTCCAGAATTTTTTATTAATACACATTAGGTATACATATTTTTAGGGTACATGTGATATTGGATATATTTATATAATCAAATCTGGGTAATTGGAATACTCATTATCTTAAATATTTATCTTTATTTTTAACTCCTGGTACATTTGAATTATTCTCTTCTAGCTATTTTGAAATGTATATTCCATTACCATTAACTGTAGTCTGGAATGTTAACCCATATATTATACAGGACCAAACCAGAATGCTATACTAAGATGTGCAGAAGAAAGTTAAAATAATGTTTTGAGCAACATTGACCCTCATCAGTAATTATTTTTTATATTACCGAACATTTATATATAGTGTATACTATATGCTAGGAAATATATACATAGGATTCCAATGCCAGTATGTGGTTTTTCTACAAACAAAGCAAATAGGGTCTCTTTTAGGTTTTCCTTCCAGTTTCTGGGTACCCTTATGTTTGTTGTATGATATTCTTTCTCCACTCTGTCTAAGCTAGGATGTCTGTTTCTTTCTTTGAATATTTTATTTTGAATCACAAAATGTTCTCAGATCCTACATAAGTACTTGTTTAGTATTCAATTCTGAATATGCAACTGTTAGCCTGAGGAAATCTGTAGGACGGTACAACTGTCTCTCTCTCTCTCGCTCGCTTGTTTTTTGTTGAAATTGTTGCTAGTGGCTGCATTTTTTTCCCTTGTGGAATTAATATTTTCTGTATTTCCTGTGAACTATAGTGATTGGAAAGTCGCTTAAAACTTTTCTTGATTACCTAACAGTGGATCTGTCATTGGAATACTAATTTGGAATACTAAGCCACTTCCAATGAAACATTCCTAGAGCAGCAATAGCATTCAGAATATTATTTTGCAATATTATATGATGTTATTGTTACTGTTGTATATGTAATATCAGGATATCTTTCTTGTGCATTCATCATTGTTATAATTTCCGAATTTGTCTTTAGCATCAGCAAGATCTAGATTAAAATTTAGATTTGCCTTTACTTTTCTGAACCCAAATTTATTTATCTGATAGGAATAATTATATTCCTTAAAAATAATTTTTATTTCAAAGTCATAAAAAATAAAACAATATTCAATTACAAGAGATATCAGGTGCTTACAGAGCAAGAGTGTTTTTACTTGATTGAAATAAGGACATATCTCTGGCAGTGAGAGTCTCTGCTTTTATTTGATTGGATTAGATTTAATTCTATTATCAGGAATACTGTGTTCTATAAATGTTAGTGCAGCTACTATTTGCATGTTTCTGAGTGAAGTACTTAACTAGTTTAGGTTTCCATTTATTATCCTCAAAAAACAAGTTCATTTTCCAAATATAAAATTCAATACAATAGTTGGTCGCCAAGGCAGAACTACCTAAATGTTCCAAGATGCAAAATCCCCACTTAGTGGCCACTCAAGTCGGTCACATCACCCTTGCTACTGGGCACAGCTGAAAAGGCCCTTGTGCCATAAACACAAGTCCTTTTCTCATGAATGCTTTCTTACCTATTATTCTGTCAAATTAGCAATATATTAGTATAAACCCAATATAGTTTAGTCATTCCTGATAGTGATATTTGATGCAGTCCCATAGTCTCAAAGAAGACAATTTACTGAATTTATTAACAAAGTTTAAAGGGTTTTCTTAAGAAAGGAAAGAAATGAGCTAAATTTGTTGTATCTCCTTTATTATAATCTTCATTATGTAACTCCTTTTAAAAAAACTTTTAAAGTCAAAGAACAATATAGGCAATATGCTTTAATATATTTAGTAAAGTCTACTTTGAAATAAAATTTATGAATTTAGGTGAATTTGTTAATTATTGGTATAATATTTAACATTGCCACCAATTTAAAACTTATTTCTCCATAACTTGAAACAATTTCAATCTGACACTCTATTAGAATGTTATATTATGTAAATATGTTAATTATCAGACATACTTCCTTGGTTCTAAAACCTATATCCCTGTTCTAACTCATGAATTACAAACCAAAACATTAAGTAATAGCAGAAATGTAAGAAAATAGGTATATGATTTGGTTAAGCCCATTGATTACATTAGCAATTAAAGTAAAAGAGGAAGGCAAACTTGTCATCACATTTCTAATTTTATCATATACCAGACATACTTTGACTGTCTTTACTATCATTTTGCTCTTTTTTTCCTCTCTTTTTCTGTAACACACTACATTTATGTGTTAGTGGTAATGGCTTATAACACATTATTTTTCCCTTCATATCTATGGAATATTGATTCTAGTTTGTTGTTAACTTTGAACTAGAAAAAATGATATTCAGATATATATGAGTATATATGTGTGTATGTATATTTGTATGTGTACTAAATTTCACAGACTGCATGCATATGTTTTAATAAATCAGAGGGGCTCACATAATTCATCTAATCAGTTGTCTAATCTTAATAATAGAGAAACAGAACCCAAGAGAAATTATATCCACAAATATATTGTGAAAGTGTTATTAATGAATGTGATCATTATATGTTGAGTTCAAAGACAGCTCTTTTAAAAAAGCCAAACCCAAGATTCTGTTTTTCACATGATTGTAACAGAATTAGTACACAATGCCAATACATGACTGAATGGAAATCAGCATATTCCTTAACATGCTGCAGTCAGCATTATATAGGAGACACCTATAACAGCACTTACTTAAAAAAAAAGCTGCAATTGTTTGTGGATATACTCATATTTTTTTTTTCCTTTCACCAGACCAATGCTGACTTTCAGTTCTATTGATCTAACATTTGTGTTTGAACTAGAACATGCACTGAAAATGTTGGATTCCATATTACTGCCTATACTGATTTTTATTGTCAGGTATCTGTATTACTGACTCTACACACACAGACACAGAAATAATTATAAATGTCCAATGTAGCCACCTTTTAATTTACTATCCTAACATGTATTCCGATTAGTACTTTAAAATTCTTTTTCTCAGACTTTGGTATTCATCCTATGTTGATATAAGATAGTTTTTTCATTTTCTTCTTTACGTTCGTATCTGTTACTATTAGCTGCTGTATGGAGTATGTTTAATACAATAAAAAATAAAGTGATACCTAAAATTTATAATCAGAATAAAATGTTACCATCTTTATACATCTTTTACACTAATATGTTTTCTACAAAGCAGTACAGTTTTATTTTAGACATATGTTCATGATGTTTCAAAAACAACAAGAAACTATCAGAAAAATGAAAAATAAATTTGAATTGATATATATATGAGTGTGAATCCCTTTAAAAATATAGATCCTATACATATTTATAAGAGAAAAACTTTAGAAACTCTGATTTTTATTATTCTGTTGTTTCAAGCTTTCAAGTTGAATCGAGTTTTTCTTTGATCTAAAAGGCAATTTATTTTTATCAGATACTAATTGTTTTAAAAAGATTTAATTTGTTAATATACTTTAAGGATTTTGTGATATTTTTAATAATTAAATGCCCAATAAGAGTTAGAATAAAAAATTAACTTTACCGTCAAAAAGGAAGATCTCCTGCACCCTCTGCTGCTATGTAAATGAAACTGCAGGTTATTTATTATAAACTTATTTTTATTTTATAAAATAAAAAAAGAAAATAAAAAATTTAAGAAGATTTTTTAAAGATCTTTTCAAAGATTTTTTAAATTTAAGAAAATAAAAAATTTAAAGAAAATAAAAAATTTAAGGCAAATCCAGTCATTTTAATATACAGTAAACAAACGAACCATTATAGATGTCTCAAAAGAACATGCATCTCAGATATATAGTTTACTTAAAAATAAGTAAAATATAAACTGACAAACTAGCTTTGAAAGGAAGAGGTATAATGGCATCAATTTGTTATTAATGAGAAAAAGTCATAATGCTACATACTTCTAAATCATCATATTACTTAAATTTATTAACCAACATACAAAAATCTATTGTGGTTTATTGTTTGTAATATGGAAATATTAAACATTAAAAAGATTGTGAAAAACCTGGAGTGAATTATTTGTGTCTTATGGCTCACTGCCATTTTAGATGAATTATTGTGTTGTTAAAATAAATTGACTTTTTTTCTAAGAGGCAGGAAATAGCTTGCAATAGTGAAACCAGATAGAATCCGAGCTGTTACAAAAGTTGATCCCAATTTATAAACAGATACCACTTGGATTGAAAATCTATATAAAGTATAAATTTTACTATTAAAATGTAGTTTAATAAAAAATAGTCTTGCCGGGCGCAGTGGCTCATGCCTGTAATCCCAGCTCTTAGGGAGGCAGAGGCAGGAGGATAGCTTGAGCCTAGGATTTGAGACCTGCCTGGGCAATATAGCGAGACCCCGTTCTCCATAAAAAGGAAAAAAAATACAAAGTCTTTATATTATTTTAAGGATTCTTAGCACTTCCATATGTTTTATTTATTTAAATATTTTATATTAAACTATAAAAATTGAAGCAGTTATTAAAACACTAGGAATTGATGTTTGTATTTTGTCGAACTTGGTGAAATTATTTTTAGAAAAGGCATTTTCTGATATGTCCAATCTCCTATTCCTTCCCAGTGGAAACCACTGTTAATAATTTTTGTGTATCTTCCAAGTTGCTTTTAAGACATTTACATGCGTATTTCTATATCCTTCCATATTTTGTAGTTTTTAAATAGGCTATATATCTCATACTCCCTTATTTTGATTTTTAAAGTCTTAAATATAAAAGTAATTCATGAATTCATTCTGATTGTTGAAGCATCGTATTACATATAACACCATGTCCCCGTTGACGACAACCTCAATTCAAAGGCCCTCTTTAAGGGTAATCACTGTTAATGCTTTGAAGTACATCCTTCAAGATTTTTTTCAGGAAGAAAAAAAATCATACACACATATGATTCTGCAGAGTATTTAATATTATACATACTATTTGATAATAAATTTTGAATTGACATAAAATGTATTCCGAATAGTATATCACTTACCAATTTGATTTTATTAACACAATGCCTTGGAAATTTTTCCTTTGTTTGTTCATATCTTTGACCTTATATGTTTAGCTCTTATATATTATGCTGTGGAATAAATAGACCATTTTTAGAATTTTAAAAATTCTCATATTAATGAACATTTATATTATTTTATATTTTCACTACAATAAGCCTGAGTATCCCTGTACATGCTTCTTTGAGCAGATCTGTGAGTATTATTCTAGGGTAAATGCTGAGAAGTAGAATTATTTTTTCATTTTATACTTTGATAAATAATTTTAATTTTTAAATGACTTTAACAATTTGGATTTCTTTGTAAATGTCTGTCCATATATACTACTTTTTCACCAAACCTGATATTATTAAGTTTTAAAAAGTTATAAATGAAAAATATTGTATTTATTTCTGGTTGATAATGGAGTTGAATATCTGCTCGTAATGTTGATTAGTGATTTATATTTCCTTTTCTATAAATTTCCTGTTACTATTCTTTGCTCCCTTTTATTCTTTGTGTTTTCTGTTTCTTACTGGCTCATAGGAGTTCTTTCTATTTCCCCGATTACTAATGAGTTTGAGTATTTTAAATATATATTCATTGGTGATTTGTATTTCTTCTTTCAGGAATTACTTGTTCTTATTCTTTGCTCACTTATTTTTGATTTTAGATTCTTTTTCTTATTGATTTATAGTTCTTTATATATTCCAGATATTAATTATCTGACTGGCATAGGATACCAAAGACCAGCCCCTGTCTTAATGTATCAATTAGTGCTCCAGAGCTTTCCCATGGGATCAGTCTGAAGCTAGTGTCCAGTTTTGACCACATCCTGGCTTAGCTTCTTATCCACATATCCCCAGTGTCCCCATCTTATTAGACTTTCTTTCTTTAATCAGCTTCTCATGTTTGAACAAGAATTCCTTACTCAGGCTCTGCTTCTAGGAAATCTATCCTGGACCTGTGATGACATTTTTTTTGAAATCAGTGTTTTAAAATCAAGCCAATTCTCCAATGGAAGATATAATTATAAAAAAAAACAACTGCTCTTTACTAATAAACATATATTTTAAGATGTGTGCTATCCTCTTTAAAGTTGTATTTTTGTTATACTGACATTGCCACCGCTCAACAAATTTATCAAATTCAGCTTTTGGAAATCATGTTCAGACTCTGAGACAGTCTTTGAATGTTCATAATATTGTCAGTTCTTTGCTCCCTGACTAAACTATTTTGTTGACAGTGAACAATTATTCAGTCATGTGCAGTCAAAGTGATCAATGTGGTCAAATATTTTGAAATTATTTGTAACAGACGGTTTTAAAAATGAGAAGTGTCTGTTCATATCCTTTGCCCACTTTTTGATGGGGTTGTTTTTTTTCTTGTAAATTTGTTTGAGTTGTAGATTCTGGATATTAGCCCTTTGCCAGATGAGTAGGATGCAAAAATTTTCTCCTATTCTGTAGGTTGCCGGTTCACTCTGATGGTGGCTTCTTTTGCTGTGCAGAAGCTCTTTAGTTTAATTAGACCCCATTTGTCAATTTTGGCTTTTGTTGCCATTGCTTTTGGTGCTTTAGACATGAAGTCCTTGCCCATGCCTATGTCCTGAATGGTAATGCCTAGGTTTTCTTCTAGGGTTTTTATGGTTTTAGGTCTAACGTTTAAGTCTTTAATCCATCTTGGATTAATTTTTGTATAAGGTGTAAGGAAGGCATCCAGTTTCAGCTTTCTACATATGGCTACCCAGTTTCCCCAGCACCATTTATTAAATAGGGAATCATTTCCCCATTGCTTGTTTTCCTCAGATTTGTCAAAGATCAGATAGTTGTAGATATGCGGCATTATTTCTGAGGGCTCTGTTCTGTTCCATTGATCTATATCTGTGTTTTGGTACCAGTACCATGCTGTTTTGGTTACTGTAGCCTTGTAGTATAGTTTGAAGTCAGGTAGCGTGATGCTTCCAGCTTTGTTCTTTTGGCTTAGGATTGACTTGGCAATGTGGGCTCTTTTTTGTTTCCATATGAACTTTAAAGTAGTTTTTTCCAATTCTGTGAAGAAAGTCAGTGGTAGCTTGATGGGGATGGCATTGGATCTATAAATTACCTTGGGCAGTATGGCCATTTTCACAATATTGATTCTTCCTACCCATGAGCATGGAATGTTCTTCCATTTGTTTGTATCCTCTTTTATTTCATTGAGAAGTAGTTTGTAGTTCTCCTTGAAGAGGTCCTTCACATCCCTTGTAAGTTGGATTCCTAGGTATTTTATTCTCTTTGAAGCAATTGTGAATGGGAGTTCACTCATGATTTGGCTCTCTGTTTGTCTGTTATTGGTGTATAAGAATGCTTGTGATTTTTGTACATTGATTTTATATCCTGAGACTTTGCTGAAGTTGCTTATCAGCTTAAGGAGATTTTGGGCTGAGACAGTGGGGTTTTCTAGATATATAATCATGTCATCTGCAAACAGGGACAGTTTGACTTCCTCTTTTCCTAATTGAATGCCCTTTATTTCCTTCTCCTGCCTGATTGCCCTGGCCAGAACTTCCAACACTATGTTGAATAGGAGTCGTGAGAGAGGGCATCCCTGTCTTGTGCCAGTTTTCAAAGGGAATGCTTCCAGTTTTTGCCCATTCAGTATGATATTGGCTGTGGGTTTGTCATAGATAGCTCTTATTATTTTGAGATACATCCCATCAACACCTAATTTATTGAGAGTTTTTAGCATGAAGGGTTGTTGAATTTTGTCAAAGGCCTTTTCTGCATCTATTGAGAAAATCATGTGGTTTTTGTCTTTGGTTCTGTTTATATGCTGGATTACATTTATTGATTTGCGTATATTGAACCAGCCTTGCATCCCAGGAATGAAGCCCACTTGATCATGGTGGATAAGCTTTTTGATGTGCTGCTGGATTCGGTTTGCCAGTATTTTATTGAGGATTTTTGTATCAATGTTCATCAAGGATATTGGTCTAAAATTCTCTTTTTTGGTTGTGTCTCTGCCAGGCTTTGGTGTCAGGATGATGCTGGCCTCATAAAATGAGTTAGGGAGGATCCCCTCTTTTCTATTGATTGGAATAGTTTCAGGAGGAATGGTACCAGTTCCTCCTTGTACCTCTGGTAGAATTCCACTGTGAATCCATCTGGTCCTGGACTCTTTTTGGTTGGTAAGCTATTGATTATTGCCACAATTTCAGCTCCTGTTATTGGTCTATTCAGAGATTCAACTTCTTCCTGGTTTAGTCTTGGGAGGGTGTATGTGTCGAGGAATTTATCCATTTCTTCTAGATTTTCTAGTTTATTTATGTAGGGGTGTTTGTAGTATTATCTGATGTTAGTTTGTATTTCTGTGGGATCGGTGGTGATATCCCCTTTATCATTTTTTCTTGCGTCTATTTGATTCTTCTCTCTTTTCTTCTTTATTAGTCTTGCTAGTGGTCTATCAATTTTGTTGATCCTTTCAAAAAACCAGCTCCTGGATTCATTAATTTTTTGAAGGGTTTTTTGTGTCTCTATTTCCTTCAGTTCTGCTCTGATTTTAGTTATTTCTTGCCTTCTGCTAGCTTTTGAATGTGTTTGCTCTTGCTTTTCTGGTTCTTTTAATTGTGATGTTAGGGTGTCAATTTTGGATCTTTCCTGCTTCCTCTTGTGGGCATTTAGTGCTATAAATTTCCCTCTACACACTGCTTTGAATGTGTCCCAGAGATTCTGGTATGTTGTGTCTTTGTTCTCATTGGTTTCAAAGAACATCTTTATTTCTGCCTTCATTTCGTTATGTACCCAGTAGTCATTCAGGAGCAGGTTGAATTTAAACCCAGCTGTTCTTGTATCAGAGTCTGAATTCTTAACAGTTATGCATTCACTGTGTCTAAACCTTAGTACATGGAACCGTAAGATTATTTAAACATAAATATGCCTCTTATTATTTACTTAAGCCTGGGTCATATGCTTTTACACTTCTTTCTTCTTTTACCACTAACTTCTTTCTAAATCTGACCAAAGCCCATCTTTCTCTATTTCTCTTTTCTCTCTGTTTCTTCTGGTCATTAAAAACTAAGATTGTATCTGGCTGAGTATCAAGATTACGTATATAAATGTGTAACTTATGTCTTTCTAAATATATATCATCATCCCTTAATTAATTAATCCAAACGACTCATCTGCTTTCCTAAATCCTGCTAGAATAATTTCTTTCAAATGTGTTCTTCCCTTTTGTAGCTTTTCCCATTGTCATGCTACTTGCACACCACTCACCCTCTTTCTCTTTTTATCTGGGGGATTGATTTATACAAATCTAATCAGAGACAGTCTGTCTTTGCTTATATACCATGTTTTGTGTCAATTCATTTTTAGGAGTGACCCAAAGACTGACATTTCTTATATAAGCAATTATTTGTTTTGGTTATTATGTTTATTTGTTGAGAACAACTTAGTGTACTCAATATAGCTAAATTATATACAAATTTAATAAATTGTTAATTAAACATATCTAATCAATTATGTGATTTCTGGCTTTTTCTACCTTAGGCTGACAATCTCATTCTCTTTTCTGTGACTGATCATCCACTTGGTCCAGATTAGCCATCCTTTTAATGTGTCTCATATTCTCCTCACTGACCTTACTGGCAGAAGTGGCTTTCGTCATTGTTGTGGGAGTCATTTAGCTGTTAAAAGTGCCTCCATTATTTTCCCATTTATTTAAGGGGAAACAGCAAAACATTTTGGAAATGCATTTAGAGATAAACTGAAAAAGTGTTGAGATGTAGATAGCATGGTCTTTCTAGTAGAAAGAGCCTGGACTGCAAGAATCCTCACAAGTGTGAGCCCTGTTTAAATCTGGGTTAAATGATATAATTAGGTAAGACTGGGAAATTACTTCAAGCTGATATCCTACTTATTTTAGTAAAAAATGATCAATGTCCTTTGATATGTTTACATATTATTAATTTTCTGCCATCATTTTCTTAATGTTAAAATTATTACCTAGGAAATATCTGTTGTTTTTTTGGGGATCTTCTTTTATTTTCACCAAGTATAATGGAAGATTTTCTTTTTAGTGTGGTCATTAAGGCTCTACCAGGTTATTTTCTGAATGTTTTTCTGAGAAAGAATCTTGCTGGGACCAGATTTAACTTATGCAGCATTCCCCTAAACACTTCAAGTATTGATAATTTGTTTTCAAATGCCAATAAAAATATAAATTTAGGGACTTTGATTACAAGAGGTCAGACTACTGATCTCACATTATATACGTCTTTTCAGTATTATTTTATGTCATTTTTAATAGACTGGTTGGGACACATGTTTTGTTAGGTAGATGATTTTCATAACTATTCTAAGAGCTACACCACCATGTACCTCTTGTTTGAATATATTTCCTCAGAAAAGGCAGAGCTCTATACCTAATCTGTGCCAAGCAGTGTGTTAGTGTCTTTGTGATGTAGTATCTTCTCATTCTTAAAAAACTCTATAAAATAATTATTATTGATGTTCCAGTTTATAGTCTTAGTAAGTGGTAGTACTTGCATTTAAGTGCCAACCAACTGCATGTGTGCGTAAAAAGTAATTAAGAGAGACAAAAATACTTAGGATTATCTCATATATGAGACCAGGTGTCATGTCATTAGCTCTGACTCATAATGAAAAAATATGAGGGGTGTCCAAATTCTAGGAAAATATTTGAAAAGCAATGAGAAAGAAGAAAAGCGAAGGCAATTTTGCTTTCCTTTTACCTGTACAGACAGATAGACCTATTTAAGTGTATGGTAGTTAGCTTCCAAGATGATACAGCTCTGAAACCCTGCAGGACTGTTTTATGCTGTTGGTTAATGTATGCATTTGGAATCACAAAAGAAAGAGTATTTGTTTTTTGAGACAGGGTCTCGCTCTGTCACCCAGGCTGGAGTGCAATGGTGCTATTGTGGTTTACTGCAGCCTTGACCTCCAAGGCTCATGTGATCCTCCCACTTCAGCCTTCCAGGTAGCTGGGACAACAGGTGTGTGCCACCATGCCTAGTTAATTAATTTTTTTTTCTTTTTTTCTAAGAGATGGGTTCTCCCTATGTTGCTCAGGCTGGTCTCCAACCCCTGGGCTCAATTTATCCTCCTGCTTCAGCCTCCCGAAATGTTGGGATTGACAGGCATGAACCAGTGAACCCAGAGAATAATTTTTAAAATGTCTTAATTATGTAATATATTTTACTTTTAGTCCAACTTTAAGTAGGTAACATATTAATGATCCATATCCAAATTATGAATCATTTAACTAGAATTCATGTCTTCTTCAACCATATCAAATAAGAAATTTGACTCTAATTTTATTTAGAATAGATCCTCCTATAATGTGGTACTCTGTTCAGGGTAATGATTGTGTTTACTAAAGTTGGAGAGGTCATTGAATAAAGTACTGTACTTTCTGGAAGCCTTTTGTTAAATCCTGGTGCTAAAGAACAAAAGTACTGTTTCTTCAGGTTGCCATTGTAAATTTCTAAGAGATCAAACTGAGTTTTATTTCTAATAGGGTCTGTATACATTTGTGTAGTAGTATTGTCTTCAAGTTAATCTTATCTTTTGTTTATTTACATAGCATTAAAGTTATAATTAAAAAACACTTCTCTTATGTAACAAATTTGTTTTTTCAAAATAAAATAACGTTTATGGTAATAAAGACCCCTAGATAATGGATAGGTCTAGTTCAACCTTCATATTTTTAAGACCTATTATTATTAAAGTGACTATGACTTCTGAATTGAGAAATATTAGATAAGAATTGAGAAAAGATGTTTATTTTATCCAATTTGGAAATTTATAAAAATATATACAAGGTTTGCTAAGGGATTAAAGGTAACTGTTATAAAAACATTGTAGTAAAAAGAAATAAAATTAGCAGTTATGATGTTGTTACATTTATCTTTCATGAATAATTGAAGTTGCTATGATGACATATTGTTTCATTAAACTTATTCAGCATTATTTTTTCATGTTTTCAACTGTTTATTAGCAAATTTCAGATTATTGAACTTTTTACAGTTTGGAAGACTTTTAATAAATATGCATCTCTAAAAGTTGTAATTTAGCATAATTACCCTCAGGATTATAAGATTTATTCATGGCAGTGAGACAGAAAATATATTTATGTAGGTTTGAAATCCTGAAGTGTTGAAGCTAAAACTTCATTTTTTAAAATCTATGTATTCTATAGGTACAAATTGCGTATTTTATCAGGCACTGGGTATTAAAGCAAGGAGAAATGGTTTTTGGCATTAAGAAGCTTAAGACAAAATAGTAAATTGAGATAAATATACAGATGCTTACTATGTAAGCTAATACTTGAGGATATGTAAAGGAGGAGTACCAGGTCCAAAATGAGAGACAGTGGGAATGGGGTGTCAGGTAGGGAAGGAGTGTCAGGGATGGCAACTTGGAAGAGGCAATGTTATAATAGTAGGAGGCTTTTGCCATGGAGTTACAGGAAGGGCATCCCAAGCTGGTGGACCCAAATCTCCAAAGGTCTTGAAGGTGAAAGTGATTAGAATATGGCAGTCATGACCAAGTGCAGTGGCTCATGCCTGTACTCCCAACACTTTGGGACACCGAGGCAGGAGGATTGCTTGAGGCCAGGAGTTTGAGATCAGCCTGTGCAACATAGCAAGACTCTGTCTCTATGAAATTTTTTTTAAAGTTAATTGGGCATGATGCTGTATGCCTGTAGTCCCAGCTACTTGGGAGGCTGAGGTAGAAGGATGGCTTGAGCCCAGGAATTCGAGGATGTAGTTAACTATGTTTGCTACACTGCATTCTAGCCTGGGTGACAGAGCAAGACCTTGTCTCCAAAAACAAAACAAAACAAAACAAAACAAAAAGGAAGAAAGAAAAGGAAAAGGAAAGAAAGATAAGAAAATGGCAGTCATCAGTGAAAGCGGAGCATGAAGTGTGACGAGAGGACTAATGAATCTGGAGATGTAGACAGCATCCAAGCCTTAAAGAGCCTTCCTAAAGAATATGGATAATCTTGACCTATAGTCTATTTTCCTCTTATTTGGCTGAGAAACTCTCAAGGGAAATACAAGTTCATATTAAAAATAAAAGACATGTGAAGGATATTTACCTCTAGTAGATTTATATCTACTCCAGGTTATTCAATAATGTGCAGATATCTTTTAGTATCTATGATGTTTTTACTTAAAGAAACTAGGACAAACATATCACTGACCTAAATAGATTATTTGTGCCCAGTGGAAGTCTGGTGGTTTTCATTAAGTATTTAGGAGCAAGAGTGATTTTAAAATTGCTGCCAATGACTTTCTTTACAGAATTGGAAAAAACTACTTTAAAGTTCATATGGAACCAAAAAAGAGCCTGCATCGCCAAGTCAATCCTAAGCCAAAAGAACAAAGCTGGAGGCATCACACTACCTGACTTCAAACTATACTACAAGGCTACAGTAACCAAAACAGCATGGTACTGGTACCAAAACACAGATATAGATCAATGGAACAGAACAGAGCCCTCAGAAATAATGCCGCATATCTACAACTATCTGATCTTTGACAAATCTGAGAAAAACAAGCAATGGGGAAAGGATTCCCTATTTAATAAATGGTGCTGGGAAAACTGGCTAGCCACATGTAGAAAGCTGAAACTGGATCCCTTCCTTACACCTTATACAAAAATCAATTCAAGATGGATTAAAGACTTAAATGTTAGACCTAATACCATAAAAACCCTAGAAGAAAACCTAGGCATTACCATTCAGGACATAGGCATGCGCAAGGACTTCATGTCTAAAACACCAAAAACAATGGCAACAAAAGCCAAAATTGACAAATGGGATCTAATTAAACTAAAGAGCTTCTGCACAGCAAAAGAAACTACCATCAGAGTGAACAGGCAACCTACAAAATGGGAGAAAATTTTCGCAACCTACTCATCTGACAAAGGGCTAATATCCAGAATCTACAATGAACTCAAACAAATTTACAAGAGAAAACCAAACAACCCCATCAAAAAGTGGGCGAAGGACATGAACAGACACTTCTCGAAGACATTTATGCAGCCAAAAAACACATGAAAAAATGCTCACCATCACTGGCCATCAGAGAAATGCAAATCAAAACCACAATGAGATACCATCTCACACCAGTTAGAATGGCAATCATTAAAAAGTCAGGAAACAACAGATGCTGGAGAGGATGTGGAGAAATAGGAACACTTTTACACTGTTGGTGGAACTGTAAACTAGTTCAACCATTGTGGAAGTCAGTGTGGCGATTCCTCAGGGATCTAGAACTACAAATACCACTTGACCCAGCCATCCCATTACTGGGTATATACCCAAAGGACTGTAAATCATGCTGCTATAAAGACACATGCACACGTATGTTTATTGCGGCATTATTCACAACAGCAAAGACTTGGAACCAACCCAAATGTCCATCAATGATAGACTGGATTAAGAAAATGTGGCACATATACACCATGGAATACTATGCAGCCATAAAAAATGATGAGTTCATGTCCTTTGTAGGGACACGGATGAAATTGGAAATCATCATTCTCAGTAAACTATCACAAGAACAAAAAACCCAACACTGCATATTCTCACTCATAGATGGGAATTGAACAATGAGAACACATGGACACAGGAAGGGGAACATCACACTCTGGGGACTGTTGTGGGGTGGGGAGAGTGGGGAGGGATAGCTTTAGGAGATATACCTAATGCTAGATGACAAGTTAATGGGTGCAGCACAGCAGCATGGCACATGTATACATATGTAACTAACCTGCACATTGCGCACATGTACCCTAAAACTTAAAGTATAATAATAATAAAAAATAAAAAAAAATAAAATTGTTTAAAAATGTTTCTCATTAGTTGAATCCTTTGAATACTTGCTAAAGAGTTATGGGACTGACTCTTTCATTTACTGTTGTTGTTGGTGTTTTTTATTTTTTTTTTTGAGACAGAGTGTCACTCTGTCCACCCAGGCTGGAGTGCAGTGGCCTGATCTGGCTCACTGCAACCTCCGCTTCCTGGGTTCATGCCATTCTCCCGCCTCAGCCTCCCTAGTAGCTGGGACTACAGGCGCCCACCACCATGCCTGGATAATTTTTTGTATTTTTAGTAGAGACGGGGTTTCACCGTGTTAGCCAGGATGGTCTCAATCTCCTGACCTCGTGATCTGCCTGCCTTGGCTTCCCAAAGTGCTGGGATTACAGGCGTGAGCCACCGCGCCCGGCCTCATTTACTGTTAATGCTGATCCAAATGCAGGAAATACTTTAAAAATGGCCAATAAATATTTTAATATACATAAATTTGAGTATTTCAGTAATGATGGTTGACATCTTGACATTCATGCATTGAAGTCTGTAGGTTCACAACCAGCTGCAAATCATTATGGTTGATTATATTCTAATTAGAGCAAAATTCTTCAATAGGCATTGAATGGAAATAAATGTTGTATATAAGTGAAAAATATCGTGGCTGTAAGTGATGTTAGTTAAACCATTTTAAAGAATATAGTCATGAAAAAATGTATTATTCATTGTATACACTTTGGAAAATCTAAGCTGTGAGGAAAATCACACATTTTTATTTGTGAAAAATTGTAAGAGCTAAAATGTCTGTTTATGTTTTAGGTTTTCTTCAAGCAAAGCCTTACAAGAATACTGAAATGTTTTGGAGTGTTTCACATATAGTTTGATTTAAATTCAAATTCATATGGAGAAAAGGGAACTCTTGCACACTGTTGGTGGGGGTGTAAATTAGCACAGCCTCTATGGAACACAGTATGGAGGTTCCTCAAAAACTAAAGACAGAACTACCATATGATCCAGCAATCCTACTTCTGGGTATATAGCCAAACAATTGAAATCAGTATGTCAAAGAGATATCTGTACTCCTATGCTTATTGCATCATTATTCATGATAGCCAAGATATGTAACAAACCTAAGTGTACATCTGTGGATGAATGGATTAAGAAAATGTGGTTTATTTATATAATGAAATGCTATTCAGCCTAAAAAAGAAATTCTGTCACATGTCACAACATGGATGAACCTGGAGGACATTATGCTCAATGAAATAACCTAGACACAGAAAGACAAATATTGCATGATCTCAGTTATATATGGAATCTAAATAATTAAACTCATAGAAGTAGAAAGTAGAATGGCTACCAGGCCCCAGGATGGAAGGACCGGGGGCTGGGGTGTCGGGGCCAGGGGAATGGGGAAATAATGTTCAGAGGGTACAGAGTTTCAGTTAGACAGGAGAAATAAGTTTTAGAGGTTGATTCGACAGCATGGTGACTATAGTTAATAATAATGTACTGCATATTTCAAAATGGCTAAAAGAGTAGATTTTAAGTGCTGTCACTACAAAAAATGATATGTATATGAGGTGATAAGTATGTTAATTTGCTTATTTCATAATATAAAAATATCAAAACATCACGTTATACCTCATAAGTATATACAATTGTCATCTGTCAATTAAAAATAAAATCAATTTTTAAAATTAAATTCATTGACTGTAGTGAAAAATCATCCATCAAAAATCTTATAATACAAATATGTTAGATTTTATGTTGTTTGGAGAAAAATATTAAATACTTATGAATGCATATCTGAAAGCAAATATTTGTCATTTTTGTCACATACTTGTTCAAGGAAATGAAAGTATTTTACTTGATCAGTTCTCATATTTATCAGGATGATAAAATAGAGGATTTTAAATTTTGTATAGTATTTGTTAATTTTTAGTCACGTAGTTTTGGTTGTAAAGACTAAGAAATGAAACAGAGTCTGATTCAATTTACAAAGGGAGAGATCGTATTACAGTTGAAGGATTAAGCAAAACTCATAAACAAAACAGCAACCAAATCAGGTACAGTTTAAAAATCAGTGAAAAATGGCAGTCACTAGAATAGCAATATTTGCTGTACAAGTTTGAATCCTTGATGTAGAAACATAGCTGGGCCTTCATTCAGCAGTAGGAGTTCATGACTAATTACTTTAGTGAATGCAGTATGTATCATGCTGATTATGAGCTGACCCTGTAGGGTTTTTTATTCCTGCTTTACCAGGTGTTGGCTGAATGACATTATGCAAGTTGCTTTTCTGTTGTAAAATGTTCATAGTCTTATTACTTATTTCTAGAAATATAAGGTGTGAAAGAGATAATCTGTGGGAAAGTACCTGGTACGTAGCAGTTGATGAGTTGTAGCTGCCACATCTCCTCACTCGTGTCCTCCTCCTCCTTTATCTTCTCCATTGATACCCTGAATATACTGACATTAATATGGTTCATAAATGTTCTATGCTTCTGATTCTCTCAGTATGTATTGTCACTTCTCTCAAGGTTACCAACTGTCTTAGTTTTTACTCAAGTATTTTCTTCAACTGATACCTGTGGTTCTCTCATAAGTTTAACTTGTTTATAACCCTATGTTATATCCTTGTGATTTAGTTTCTTCTTCTAATGGCCTGCTTATCTCTCAGCTTCCCAAACCAAACTTGTCCTGGGGTGGGGGGAGGGGGGAGGGATGGCATAAGAGAATTACCTATTGTAAATGACGAGTTAATGGGTGCAGCACACCAACATGGCACATGAATACATATGTAACTAACTTGCTCATTGTCCACATGTACCTTAGAACTTAAAGCATAATTTAAAAAAAAAAAAGAGAAGAAAAAAAGTCTATAGCCATTGGCTTTTCTTTGAGTGCTGATTGTAGTGTCAGGCTATACCATTGTCTTGTTTGTGATTCTGTTGAGCTCACGTCAGTAACTTGTTGAGTCGTGTGGTGTAAAATGAAAATACTTCTAGTGGTCTCTGACAGGAGTCATGGTGGGGCATTTACCCAGACAGAAATTTTTATGTCTGTCACGTGCCTACTGCATCTAAATAAATAAACATAAAAAGTTAAGAATAAACAGTTTACCAAAATTATGGAACAGCTATAAGTAGGAAGTCTGGGTCTTAAATACCTGGTGTCTCCAAAGCCAACACTCTTGCATAAACTTTAAATATTTCTGTTAATCTTAAAATGTTTGCATCATTACAAAATATCAATACTAGCTATTGGGTCATTTTTACTACTTATAAATTCAAAAAATCTTTATTAGGTATCAGATTTTTGTTATTTATCGTCTTAGTATAAACTAAATTCTATTTTGTGTCTCGAAAAGCAATATTTTGTTTTAAAATGTATTATTTGTAGTTGAATTCTATTGACTTGTTGTTTTTGTTTTAACCTTTCTCAGGCTGCAAAGTTGGCTTTCACAGTGCAAGCCTTTGATTCCCAATGGGGGACTCAGGATCAAGACGATCTACCCTGGTCTCCCGGTTGCCAATATTCAGAAGAAGTATTAACAGAAGACATGATTCTCTTCCTTCTTCACCTTCTTCCAGTAATACAGTTGGTGTCCACAGTTCCTCTCCTTCCAGCACTAACTCAAGCTCAGGTAGCACAGGTAAACGGAGGAGCATATTCCGTACTCCTTCCATTAGCTTCCACCATAAGAAGGGGAGTGAGCCTAAGCAAGAGCCTACCAACCAGAACCTTAGTATTTCAAATGGTGCTCAACCTGGTCACAGCAATATGCAGAAACTGAGTTTGGAAGAACATATTAAGACCAGGGGAAGACATTCTGTTGGTTTTAGTAGTTCACGAAATAAGAAGATAACAAGATCTTTGACAGAGGATTTTGAAAGGGAAAAAGAGCACTCAACTAACAAGAATGTCTTTATAAATTGTCTAAGTTCTGGCAAAAGTGAAGGGGATGATTCTGGTTTCACAGAAGACCAAACTCGTCGTTCTGTTAAGCAGTCAACAAGGAAGCTACTCCCTAAATCTTTTTCATCTCACTATAAATTTTCTAAGCCAGTTCTACAGAGCCAATCCATTTCATTGGTACAACAGTCTGAATTCTCATTGGAAGTTACACAGTACCAAGAGAGAGAACCTGTATTAGTAAGAGCTTCGCCATCCTGTTCTGTGGATGTAACAGAACGGGCAGGAAGCTCTTTACAATCTCCTTTGCTTTCTGCTGATCTTACCACAGCTCAGACACCTTCAGAATTTTTAGCCTTGACTGAAGATTCTGTGTCTGAAATGGATGCATTTTCTAAAAGTGGAAGCATGGCATCCCACTGTGACAACTTTGGCCACAATGATTCTACCTCTCAGATGTCCCTCAATTCTGCTGCTGTTACAAAGACAACAACAGAACTTACGGGAACTGTTCCCTGTGCAATTATGTCTCCTGGGAAATATAGGTTAGAGGGTCAATGTAGCACTGAATCTAATTCATTACCGGAAACCTCTGCTGCTAATCAGAAGGAAGTGTTATTACAAATTGCTGAACTACCTGCTACAAGTGTGAGCCACTCAGAGAGTAACCTACCAGCAGATAGTGAAAGAGAAGAAAATATAGGGTTACAAAATGGTGAAACAATGCTGGGGACAAACTCCCCAAGGAAACTTGGATTTTATGAGCAACATAAAGCAATAGCGGAACATGTAAAAGGGATCCATCCTATTTCAGATTCAAAGATAATACCTACTTCTGGTGATCATCATATTTTTAACAAAACATCACATGGATATGAAGCAAATCCTGCCAAAGGTATGCTGATTTTTTTTGTATAACAAATGATATGAATTAATTTTCATTATACTTTATTCAGTTTTCTTATTCCATCTCATGAATGGAAACCACATTTTTCTTGTTTTTCACTTTCGAAATGGTTTCCTATTCATAATTTGTGTTAAATGTTTCCCCTGCTTGATTTTAAACTTACATCAATTGTGTTATGCTGAAAATGTAATTCAGCAATATTACTCATTTTTTCTCACTTATGTTATCCATAACTAAGAAGCAGCCTCTTAGTTACGGTGTTTATTGGAGCACCTTCAGAAGAAAGTGAATGGAAAGTAATTGTTTGCAATGTGGATTTCTCCAAAGTAAGGACTGTCTTTTATAGAGTTTATTATAGAGGCATTGGTATTTCTTATTTAATGAAATGGATATATTCCAGCTAAAATCACTATAAAATTTGTATAATTTAATACGAATTTTATAATTTCCTTTGTTAACTAAGCTTTCATTATTAATTAGGATCCATGTTTCAACATAAATAATTCCTATCTCTAGATACAATAACAGAATTGTAAGCTTAAAAAAACCTATCTTTGGAAGCTGGAGACAGGTTTCAACTCTGCCTCTGACATTAACTAACTGTGCAACTTTGGACACCTTCCCTTTAGTTTAAAAAAAGTGTTAGTATATGTCCATTACTGTAATATGGCTACAGAAAACTTTGTTTTTTTAACATGAAATTCAGTTCAAGAAAATTTTTGAATATATACCACCTGCTGGGCTATCTTTGACATATTTTAATTCCTTTTTCTCTACTATCATTAATGCTACTACTGCTACTAATAATTTTCCCAAATTTGGAAGTGATTATTATGTCCTAGATATTATTCTGTATACTTTATATACATTAATTAAAATGATTGAAATTGCTACTATTATTATAAGCTATTTTGCAGGCAAGAAGATGGGAGCAAAGATAAACTGTGTGTCCACAATCACAAAACTAATAATTCATTTATTGGGATATAAATCCTATGAGGTAGGCTCCTATGTTTCCCATTTTACAAATGTGAAAACAGGCTAAAGAATCATACAGCTGGTAAGTAGTGCAGTCAGATTACAACTCTCTGAATCCAAAGCTCTGGCTCTCCATAACTATGCTTTACTACATGTCATGACTTAAAATATTAAATAAAATTTATGTGACATAATGTCACGAGTAATAGGATTATAAAGTTTATCCATAAACATAGAATTTCAAAGTTTTAAATGCATGAGTTAATTTTCCAGCTGTCTTAATACTTTTCTCATTTGATACAAGATCACTTTTATGCACGTGACCATGTTTGTCCATTTTTGGAACTTTGTATTCTTTAGTCATATATGCCTAGCTCCTTTACCTGTAATATAATCATGAGAATATGATAATGATGATGATATTAATGATGGTTACCCTTTTGTATAATTAATATATGCCCAAAAATGTACTAAGAAGATTGCATGCACTGTTTCATATAGTCCTTATAAAAATTTTGCATGTCATGTTAATAACTAAAATTTATAATAAGTTAAATAACTTTATAGGGTCACATAGTTAGCAAATGATGGACTTGATATTGAAATCCAGGAAGTTTTAAAATTATATAAAAAAGAGATAGAAATGCAATTATCCTGACATATCTAATTCTTATTTAGTAATGATGACTTTCCTCAAAGCCTAATTGAATACTGCATATTTTTCTCTCTCTGGAAATTAGAGAATGATCAGTTATCTTGGAGACTATTACTATGTTGATTGGGATCCTATTTGTAACACAATAACACATTAATTTTGCTGATTTGATAATGTGTTGGCTGTTCTTGGATAAATAAGCTGGTAATGTCAACAAACTAAACTATCCTTTAGTTTTTGAAAATATTCATGTGCTATTTATAAGGATTTTATAATTTTGAAGTTTAAAATTTTAAAAACAGCTAAGTAAATGTATTTTATCCAATAAAGAGTTGCTATAGACACTAACTTTCATAATGCTAAATTTAGTTTGTATTTTGTATGAAATATTTAAGCCAGTACTTTATACACATCTAAGTGTTCTAGGTGTACAATCATGTCAGAACTAATGAGTTATCTGGCAATTTAACTTTTATTCATTGTCTTAAAAAGTTATTTAAAAAGAACTGCTATATATTGGACTAATAGATTCTGGACAGTCTTTAAACTAGTAGATGAGCCTAATTAGAACAATTTTTTCATTTACTCATTCATTCATTCAGCAAATATTTATTGTTTTAACACTATGTTAGGCACTAGGGATGTAGCAATACACAAAACAGGCCTAGATCCCTGCCTTCCTGAGGCTTACTTTCCACTGGGGATACTCAGTTAACATGCTATATATATCAGATGGTGATAACTGCTGAGGGTAAGTTTAAAGCAGAATAAAGGCTTAGGAAGCAGAAGTGGGATTCCAGTTTGCATTTTTAAATGTAACAGGATGATACCCAAGGTAACATATTGGTAAAGGTTTGAAGGAACTTAAATAATAAGTCATACAGATATTTGAGAGAAATATATTAGTGCAAGGTTGTGAGTCAAAGGCTGTGTAGGGCTGGAGCATGCCAGTGATGTACCAGAGCAGCAAGAGTCCAGTGTGGCATGAGCAGAGTGATGGAGGGGAGAGCAGGACATGAGATTGCAGAGGTGAGCAGGTGAACAGGGTGCTCCTCCTGTCCCTGGTTTGGGGACAGAGAGAGCAGTCATATGGGTCATATTATGAAGAATTTGTTATGCCATTTGAAAAACATCACCTTTTGGCTAGAGGAGTGGTGGTGATGGCCCTCACTTATGTTTTAAGTATATGATTCTGGCTACTATGTGGAATGTAGATTGTGTTGCGGGTGGAGAGGCAGATGAGAGTAGGCAGAGGTAGGAGAATTGTAGCAAATATTGCAGTAACCAAGCCAGCATAGATTTGGTCCAGGGTCTTAGAAGGAGAGGTAGAAGGAATCAGATTCTGTATACAGTTTGAAGGAAATAAGGACAGGATTCATTTATGTGATTAATGTGAGCAACGAAGCAACAAAGGATGACTCCAAACGTTTTGGGCTTCAAAGAGATTACATGATTAAGTGAACTAAACTGATGCTATACATTTAAAAGTTTTCTTGTGATAGAGAAACTTTGAATAACACTAAGAGTTTTTCATGATCTTTCAGTGGGACATTTGTAAAAACTACATTTAAATATTTACCTTCATTTTTATTTATTTTCCTTTCCATAGTTCTTGCCAGTAGTCTCAGTCCATTTCGTGAAGGAAGATTTATAGAGAGGAGACTGCGATCCTCGTCAGAAGGCACTGCAGGGAGTAGCAGAATGATTTTGAAACCGAAAGATGGAAATATAGAAGAAGTTAATAGTTTAAGAAAGCAAAGAGCAGGTTCTTCATCTTCAAAAATGAACAGTTTGGTAAGTATATACATATGTCTGCCTCTAATAAAATAATGCTGTCTATATCCGACATGTTCATGTCTCTTGCAAAATGAACACAGACTACAGGATAGACACCTCATATTTGAAGGGAAAATTTGTTTCCATAGTTGACATTACAAGTCAGAGAAACAAATTTTTCACCTAGGTCAGGATGGAGTTCACCATGACAGCTGTCTTTAGTTCCTGTCTTCCTTGCTTCCATGGAAAGTTTGACATTCTTTATTCTAGAACAAGACACTTGAATACAGAAACTAGGGAAAATGCTGAACATGAGGCTCCCCTTTGACACCATTATTTCACATCTTCTCTCCACCATATAGCCCTCCAGAAAATACCCTTTTGTAAATCACACTTACTCCAGTACCACTCTTAGTCCCTGTAGACCCTATCCTCGCTGTCCTCCTGCAGTGCCCTTCCACAAAGGGTGAGGAGTTGGTGTGAAGCTTATGAGGACCAATGTGAAATGCCCATCCAATGCTTGCATACATTGGAGGTAATCAAGATACCCTATTCCTGGTCCAAATTGTAGAGCCTGCTTTTAGTATGAGGGTGGAGGTGGGGTGTGTGGGGAGAGGCATGGTCTGAGTTTGTATGTGTGAACTAGGGTGTCACAGAGGCATTAGTATGAAGCTCCCTCATGGTATGAGATGGACCCAGGGGTGGGAAGAGATGAGGGGCGAACTGCAGCCTTGGGTCCATGTGGCCTCAGGTTTCACAAGTATTAGAGTGTGATTGCCTTTTGGAGATCACTTTGCTCACCTTCTCACAAATGTGTCCTTTTTCAGCAGTGTATTTAACATCTATTATCTAAAAATGTTCCTTAAAATAATCTTTCTACCTACCTATCCATGCATATATGTGAAAAATGCTCAAAAATAAATCACTTATGATATCTCTATTGTTTTACATAATTGGGTTTCAAATGAAAATATTAGGTAATTGAGATCTGATAATTATTTTGTGAAGAAGCCTTAAGTTAGTAAGGTAACATTGTGTGATAGCAAAATCACTGTGCTTGATGTTAGAGGTTTTAATCGTTTTTTTCTGGTGTGACCATTTCTTAATCCTGGGCAAATTTGTAACCACAAAATAGCAAGTGATAATAGGTGTCTTGTTTCCATTATACTAAAGAATGACTATGTGAGTATGTGTTTACATTTGTACATATGGAAACATATATTTCATGCTTCGTTTTGTTCTTTTGTGCATTGGCTATTATATTATTATTGTTGCAGTGGATATTTTTGGTCTAAGTATGAAAATATGTTAAAGCGGATTTCCAATTGATGCACCATTAAAAGTTAGGACTAATGAAGTATTACAAAACATTTATCATCACAACATTTTCAGTATTTCTTCATGGAGAGGCATTTATATTAATAGGGTTACACTATTCAACTTGCTCAAAGTTGTGCCTTTTACATATTCTCTCATATCTCATGTGTTTTTCATACTGCATTTAATTTAAATAATTCTAGTTTGAGACAAGCCTAGGCAAAATATTGAGAACTCATCTCTAAAAAAAAATTTAATAATTAGCTAGAAGTGGTTGCACCTGTAGTTCCAGCTACTCAGGAGGCTGATGTGGGAGGATCACTTGGGTCCAGGAGTTGGAGGCTGCAGTGAGTTATTGCACCACTGCACTTCGGCCTGGGCAACAGAGCAAGACCTGGTCTCGATAAGATAAATAAAAAATAAATAAATAAATAAATAAAATGTAAAAAGTGCTTCTTATAATATCACAAAGTCACTCTTCTCAGATTTACTTTTTTTTTTTTTTTTTTTTTTTTTTTGAGACAGAGTCTCGCTCTGTCTCCTAGGCTGGAGTGCACTGGTGCGATCTCGGTTCACTGCAACCTCTACCTCCCCAGTTCAAGCAATTCTCCTGCCTGAGCCTCCCGAGTACCTGGGATTACAGGCACCTGCCACCATGCACAGATAATTTTTGTATTTTTAGCAGAGAGGGGGTTTCACCATGTTGGCCAGGCTGGTCTTGAACTCCTCCTGACCTCAAGTGATCCACCCGCCTCAGCCTCCCAGCGTGCTGGGATTACAAGCGTGAGCCACCACGCTCAGCCCTCCGATCCGCTTTTAAGATTTAAAACTTAAGAAACAAAAGTGGTTTTGTTCCTTTGAGGCCTTATATTTAAATTTTCAAAAGTGTGCCTGTAGTATTATAGTCTGTCCACTAGATGGCAGAAAGACACCACTGCCGTGGTGGTGGACAGTATATCAGGGTTGGAACAGAAACTTGGTAAAATATTGTACATGTTCATTGGATTTACAGATGAAACTTACTGAAATAAATACTGAAACTTTTGAATTTCCTAAAGAGAACTACCAAAAACTACTTCACGATCTTACCATCTTCCTTTGGATTTTACAAGTTATGTCTCATCTTTCAGTTACTTTACAGTTTATTCATTTTTTATTTTAATTTTTAATTTTTTTAAGGCAGAGTCTCACTCTGTCACCCAGGCTGGAGTGCAGTGGTGCAGTCTCGGCTCTCTGCAACCTCCCCTCCCCGGTTCAAGTGATTCTTGTGCCTCAGCCTCCCGAGTAGCTGGGACCACAAGTGTGTGCCACCATGCCTGCCTAATTTTTGTATTTTTAGTAGAGATGTGGTTTCACCATGTTGGCCTGATTGGTCTTGAACACCTGACCTCAGGTGATCCACTCACATCACCTCCCAAAGTGCTGGGATTACAGGTGTGAGTCACCGCACCTGAGCAGTTACTTCACACTTAATTAATTAATTTAAAATGCATGAAATATGTTTTTTAACTTGTAGCACTGTAAGGAAGAAATGGTAGGGATTATTTAGTTCTAGATACATGTGAAACAAGTGATGTATATTTGGAAAATTGTAGCTGTCTGTGTGAACACTGGCACATTTTCTATATTCCTCTTCCAAAATAATTTAAGCAACTGCATGTATTTAAGAATGTATCCATGGTTCAGTTATTTTATTTTAAAGCAATTATAATAGAAACATGTGTTTTTAATGCTTGTTGGAACCAAGTGACTACTTTTAATGCCTGACATGTATTATCACATTCAGTCCTCACAACAGTACTATCAACTAAATGATTCTGTGGTGATCAAATTTTGCGAAAGAGGAAAATAAGGTACTGAGAAGATAAGCAGGTTGCCTAAAATGACATAGCTCATAAATGGCAGAGATAAGATTTGGATTTGGATCCTTTCTAAGTTCAAATCCTACAATCTTTTGGGAAAATGTATTCGATTTAAAATTAAGTTGAGCCATTTTTCAATTGTTTGCATCAATTTGGTGTAATGAAATTAAAACATTTAAAGCAATCTAACCTTGCTTGCTCTAAGTCTAGGCTGCAGCATTCTGTAAGAGATACAAAAGAGGAAAACAGAAACAAAATTTAGTGCTTAATCTGAACTTAAAATGCGGTCATGTTTCTTGAAATGCTGATGAATAGTATCAATGTCCTTACTGAGAGATATCCCATCAAAAAGGAACTTTGTCACAAAAGAGGATATTCATACTTAGCAGTTTTGTAATACTTCTTTACTCCTAACTTTTAATGTTAGCATTAATGCAGCCCTTCATGTAGTTCATGGGGATTTCAATTCTCATAATAAAATATGGCTCTATTTATTAAGATGCTGAGCATTTCCTGAAAGACCGAAGATATTACCTGATGGATTAGATATAGTTAGATATACCACAGTTCTGTTGTTTTTGTGTACTTCTGGGGTATTTCAATCTGGAAGCGAAAGGACAGGATGTATGAACTCTTCAAACATCAAATGCCGAGAACAAATTGGGATTGGCTTAGGTTTATTAAAGGAATCCAAAGTAAATTTGGAACAATTTGATAAGTGTTCACATTTATTATATTTTTTCAAACCTCTTTATAGTATTTTTCCAATTTTTCTCTAATGAGTAGCTTTCTGAATACATTTCTTGCGATTGTCCAAAAAATTTAAAATGCTGTTCTAGAAAAAAGTTAAAGAACATATTTCTTTAAAGAACTTACTTCAGGAAGTTTCTCTCCAGACTATG
This sequence comes from Homo sapiens, assembly GCF_000001405.40. Lineage (NCBI taxonomy): Eukaryota > Metazoa > Chordata > Mammalia > Primates > Hominidae > Homo > Homo sapiens. Next base: position 90,317,111 of record NC_000004.12, read on the forward strand.
GTATATAAATGTATACATGTAAGGATTTCTCATGGGTTCTCCAATGGCTTTACATAGGGAATTCTAACTCTAAATATTTACAAGATTACTCTCTAAAAAAGTTAATGTGAGAGTAGATTCATATATAATGAACAATACAGAAGACCTGGTACCGTTAAAGGAAGGAAAAATGCCTAAGTGGATGAGTCAGGATAAACTTGGCTAAGTGATAAAAAATACCGCTGGGCGTGGTGGCTCAAGCCTGTAGTCCCAGCACTTTGGGAGGCTGAGGCAGGCAGATCACTTGAGGTCAGGAGTTCAAGACCAGCGTGGCCAAGATGGTGAAACCCCGTCTCTATTTGCATTTTGTAAAAATACAAAAATTAGCTGGGCATGGTGGCCAGTGCCTGTAATCCCAGCTACTCGGAAGGCTGAGGCAGGAGAATTGCCTGAACCTGGGAGGTGAAGGTTGCAGTCAGCTGAGATCATGCCACTGCACTCCAGCTTGAACAACAAAGTGAAACTCTGTCTCAAAAATAAATAAATAAAATAAAATAAATAAATAATAACTTCCAAATCTAGCGACTTATATAATATAGATTTCTTTCTCACTTAGGCTACATGTTTATTGTGGAAGGCATTGGGGTTCTGTTCAATGTCTCCTCCTCCTGTATTCAGGCTGTGGAAGCAGCTAACTCTGCAAACATTGCCTTTTACCATGGCAAAAAGAAAGAGATCTCTGGAGGTCCCTGTAATAAAATACTTTGAATTGTGAAACTCACTTTCTTCTGCTCACAACTCATTGGTCAGATCTAATCATATGGCCCAAACTAGAAACAAAAGCAGCCAAGAATAATAATGAGTTTCCTGTATCTAGAGGCGGAGACTTAGGTTTGGTGAACACTTAATGACTCATATTCCCAAATATTTTGTTGTATCCAAGTTCTTTTAATTAATCGAGATTTACTGACTGCCTCCTCTTTCCCTTTTGTCCAGAGTCATTTAATGGGCCCTGACTTTGTGCTTCACACTGTCCTGGTCTTTGTGGTTGAAAAGATGAAAACATCTCTGTAACTGAAGAATTCATATATACTACAGGTTTTATTCTTTAGAATATTCTCTCTTCCTTACTTAAAGGCCTTGAGATGTGTATCTTAAGTGAACTAAGTTTACTTTTTTCCTTGACTCAAGGAATCTTTACTATTTTTGTAAGTATTTATTTTCATTGCACCAAGCAGTTGGTTTTGAAGGTTGCATTATCTTCAGATTACTCAGCAAATGCATTTGCAAAGTTGCCCTGTACTATTTGTGCTAAGTGATTCAGACAACTTTCATTTATGGCCAATTTTACTCTGACACAGCATGTTTTCTTTCATTTAGCATCCTGCTGCTTTTATGTGGAAACTGTGAATGACACAGTAAAAACATAACTGTAGGACTTTGGTAGAAGAACAAATCCGATTTATATTTGATTAATAAGAAGTAGTTAGTTGCAGATCGTTAGCATCTCATATCACATTTAATTTTTTGGTATGTTGAACTGCAGAATTTACTTATTATTGATAATAGTAGAATAATATGACTGTACCCTATTTGAGATAGCCAAACACTTTACTATTCATTTACTTTTCTTCTGGGGCCTGCTGTTTTCTCATTTATTAGCTTATCCTTTATTCATTATAATTCTTCATTTCTTCATTCATTAAAACATTCACAGTTTCTTACAATAAATATTTATTGACAATCTGCTCTGAAGAATCAAAGATGAAAGAGACAGTGCTTGAGGATTTTTGAGTTCCCAAAGGGAGAGATAAGGTTAAACATTATCTTGCCAATACAACAGATTTAACCATTTTGACCATCTCTAAGTTCAGAATGGGTGGGGCATGCTTCATTTGGATTGTGAGCATCGAAATCCAAAGTTAAGAAGAGTTAAAATGGGCACATGAACTCCTGTTTCCCAGCTTTGTCTGTGCCTTATCTCACACACTCAATGACACTGTTAAATATATGCATAACTTTCTTGTGTCTTTTGTTCATTTCTCTAACTGAGACCCAGCTGCTAGTGCTGAGCAGGTTTGCTGAAAGAAAGTTGGGACAGTAAAGAAGAACGTACAAAATGAATCTCATGATTAATATTAAAACAAATCAGTCTCAAAACACCCCACTTGTACAATCCGCCAAGCAAAAGAATCCCACTGGGCTCATTTGGTATATACACCTTCACACTTCTGTTTCACGGCATGAAAGTTGCTCAAGCTTGAAATTAAAAACAAGACAGCCTGGGTGCAGTGGCTCAAATCTGTAATCCCTGCAATTTGGGAGGCCGAGGTGGGCGGGTCATGAGGTTAGGAGATCAAGACTATCCTGGCTAACACGGTGAAACCCTGTCTCTACTACAAATACAAAAAATTAGCCAGGCGTGGTGGCACGCGCCTGTAGTCCCAGCTACTTGGGAGGCTGAGGCAAGGAGAATCCCTTGAATGTGGGAGGCAGAGGTTGCAGTGAGCCGAGATCGCGCCACTGCACTACAGTCTGGGCAACAGAGCAAGACTCTCTCAAAAAAAAGCAAAGATGATAATTAGAAGATCTGATTTTGAAAATTTCTTAATCTTGAAATCCTTAATGAGACTTTCCAGTATGTAAAAATGTTAATGGCTTTGGGGAGTTAAAATAACGATTGCAGTTTTTAGTGTAACTGACTGTTAATAGAATTAAAGCAAATATTGCTTGGTTACAGGGACATCTAATAAAAATGGAAGCCATTAATATTTTTCAGGAAATGGAGCCATATGAATCATTCTCCTCAATTCTTATAAATTTTAAGGAAGAAAATCACAAGTATCACTCATTAAACATGAAATTACATTTGTTGATAACTGGCATACATTTTAGGTTAATAGCCCTAATCCTTTATGCTTTTATTTGTTTTTCCAGTTACTAATCATATTTTCCTTTCAGTACCCTTCTAAATTGTATCATGGACGTAACACTCACCACATAGTTATTTGAATGTGTCTCATTTTACCTGAAAGGTTTCAATCGTTTAAATGGAAGGAGCTGTGTATATACTGGCATTTCTTGCGGTCATTAATATAGCACCTGGTGGAAAAATAGGCATCTAATAAATATGAATAAATTAAAGGTAAAATTTCTGGTTAAATAATGATACATGTTTATATAGATGTGAATTAAGGCTTCTAGTACAAGAATTGTGTGTGGAGTGCTTATGCACAGTTTTGACATTTTAACTTATTATTCAAATATACAGGTATTTCTTATGATGCATTGTCTGATAAAGCTCTGGCTTTTTTGACACTAAATCCTTGATCAGGAAGGCCATACCAATTATGACATTGTTCCAGTGGAAGCACAATTTATTTTAGGATTATCAGCCTTATAGAATGGTTTCTAGGATTATATGAGTACGATAGTTATAAACTGGCCATACAATGAGGACAAGAAATAGTCAAATATTTGTGGTATTCATTAAGCCCATTAAAATATAATATCTTGGTCAAATATGGGTAAGCGAAGATTTTTAAAATCCGCTGCTATTTTATCTAGTCCAGCTCACTTCGTTTCTTATAAGCTTATAGATTCAGAGTTGCCTTTAGAAGCAGGATTGAATAAAAATATTCCATTCATTTTTGTCTTTCTGAACTTTGAGATGAGTCATTTTCATTTAGAAGCTGTCACAATTTGTATGTTTGTTGGGCAAAATTAGTAATAGTTTATTCATACACTTAACTCACTTCTTAAATGATTTAAAGATCGGTTTGAGTAATACTTAGCACCTACATTGTTACCTCTGTGATAACATAATTTAATAATTATTACAGGTACATAATAGGTGGATATATTTATGGGGTACATGTGATATTTTGATACAGGAATGCAATTTATATTAATACTAATCACATCAAGGTAATTGGGTTATCTATCACCTCAAGCATTTATCATTTGTTTGTGTTAGGGACATTCCAATTCCAGGTTTTTGTTATTTTAAAATATACAATAAATAATTTTTTCACTATAGTTACCCTATTGTGCTATAAAGTACTAGATCTTATTCATTCTACATAACTATATTTTTGCATACATTAATGTCCCCCCAACCCTCCAACTCTTTCCAGCTCCTGTTACCCATCATTCTATTCTGTATTTCTGTGACTTCAAATGTTTTAATTTTTAGCTCCTGTATATGAGTAAGAATAGGCAAAATTTGTCTTTCCACACTTCATTAATTTTATTTAAAATAAGGTCCTCCAGTCTCATTCATGTTGTTGCAATTGACAGGATCTCATCTGATTTTTATGGCTGAATAATATTCTATTGTGTGTATGTACCACATTTTCTTTATCCTTTTGCTTGCTGATGGACACTTAAGTTGATTGCATGTCCTGGCTATTGTGAATAGTGCTGCAATAAACATGGGAGTGCAGATATCTCTTTGATATATTAATTTCTTTTTTCCGAGTGCATACTTAGCAGTGAGAAAGCTGGATCATATGGTAGCTGTATTTTTAGTTTTTCAAGGAATCTCCAAAATGTTCTCCATACTGGTTGTTCTACTTTACCTTTTCATCAACAGTGTACAAGGGTTCCCTTTTCTCCACATCCTGTTAGCATTTGTTATTTGCCTGTCGTTTGGATAAAAGACACTTTTTATATGCCTGTTGTCCATTTGCTTGTCTTCTTTTGAGAAATGTCTCTTCAGATATTTTTGCCTATTTTTAAATTGGATTATTTAGTTATCTTTTCTATTGAGTTGTGTTAGCTGCTTATATATTCTGAGTATTAATACCTTGTCAGATGGGTATTTTCTCCCCTTCTGTGGGTTGTCTCTTGACTTTGTTGATAGTTTCCTTTGCTGTGCAGAAGCTTTTTAGCTTGATGTGATCCCATTTTTCCATTTATGCTTTGGTTGCCTGTGTTTTTGAGGTCTTAGTCAGGACATTTTTGCCAAGACCAATGTCTTGGAGAGTTTCCCTAATGTTTTCTTCCATAGTTCCATAGTTTGAGGTCTTAGATTTAAGTGTTAATCCATTTTGATTTGATTTTTATATATGGCAAGAGATAGGCGTGTAGGTTCATTCTCTGCATGTGGATATCCAGTTTTCCAGCACCATTTATTGAGGAATCTGTCCTTTCCTCCATGTATGTTATTGGCACTTTTGTTGAAAATGAATTCACTGTATATGTGTGGATTTATTTCTGAGATCTCTACTCTGTTCCATTGGTCTGCGTGTCTGTTTTTATGATACTACCATGCTATTTTGGTTATTATAGCTTTGTAATGTAATTTGAAGTCAGATAATGTGATTCCTCCAGTTTTATTCTTTTTGTTCATGATGGTTTTGGCTATTCTGGGTATTTTGAATTGTTACATCAAAATTTTAGGATCATTTTTCTATATCTGTGAAGAATGTCATTAGTATTTTGATATGGATTGCATTCAATCTGTAGATTGCTTAGGTAAGTGTGGATATTTTAACAATATTGATTTTTCAGTTTCATCTTCAGTTTACTTTATCAGTGTTTCATAGTTTTTATTGTAGAGATCTTTCACTTCTTTGGTTAAGTTTATTCCAGTAAAGTTTACATATTTTATTATTATTGCTGTTGTAAATGGTAATGCTTACCAGGCAAAGTCTCTTTTTCTCTTCCTTCACTTTCCCCTAAACAGAAGGAGACTCTGTGGTAAGGTGGCCTGGAGCTGAGGGAGGGGTAATGTAAGTACTTCCATTGCCACCACAGCTGGAACTGCACTGGGTCATGCCTGAAGCCAGTGCAGTACTGGGTCTTACCCAAGGTCTGTGACAACTGCTGCATGGCTACCACTGATGTTTACGCAAGGTCCAAATGTTCTTTAGTTAGCAAATGGTGAATCCTGCCAGGTCTGGATCCTTCCTTCCGGGCAGCAGGTTCCCTTCTAGCCCAGGCTGGGTCTAGAAATGCCATCCAGGCGCTGGGGTCTAGAATCAGTGGCTTCAGGAATATGCAGGGTGCTTCATTTTAATGTAGCTGAGCTGGTTACCAGTTGCAAGACAAAATCCTCTGTACTCCTCCCTCTCCTTTCCTCAAGCAGGAGTCTCTCCCCATGCTGCACAGCCTGGAATTGGGAGAGGGGTGATGCAAGGACTCCCTTGGCTGCCACAGGTGTTGTCTCACTGGGTCATGTGTACCCCAAGTCCACTGGCTCCAAGTCCAGTGCAGAACTGGGATTTGCCCAAGGACTGAAGTTCTTGTGACCTGTCTTTCAAAGTTATTTGGGACCCCATGCCACTTTGGTCAGCTGGTGGTGGAGCTAGCTGGAGCTCAGATTCCTACCCCTAGGAGGGAGGATTCTCCTCTGGCAGGAGGGGAAACCTCTAAATGGTTTCTCTGTGAGCACTGGCAGAATTTGGTTCTGTGTTGTGTTCTCTTGTGACAAGACAGCACCGAGTCCCAATGCAAAGCCTCACAATCACTTCACTCTCCCTCCCACAAGCTCACAAATTTTCTGTCTGTGCTGCCAGAGGATGGAGTAATGGTGGTTTGGGCAATGCAACAGTGTCTTTCCTATCCTCTTTTTTTTTTAAATTTTATTATTATACTTTAAGTTTTAGAGTACATGTGCACAATGTGCAGGTTAGTTACATATGTATACATGTGCCATGCTGGTGTGCTGCACCCACTAACTCGTCATTTAGCATTAGGTATATCTCCTAAAGCTATCCCTCCCCTCTCTTCCCACCCCACAACAGTCCCCAGAGTGTGATGTTCCCCTTCCTGTGTCCATGTGTTCTCATTGTTCAGTTCCCATCTATGAGTGAGAATATGCGGTATTTGGTTTTTTGTTCTTGCGATAGTTTACTGAGAATGATGATTTCCAATTTCATTCATGTCCCTACAAAGGACATGAACTCATCATTGTTTATGGCTGCATAGTATTCCATGGTGTATAGGTGCCACATTTTCTTGATCCAGTCTATCATGGTTGGACATTTGGGTTGGTTCCAAGTCTTTGCTATTGTGAATAGTGCCGCAATAAACATACGTGTGCATGTGTCTTTATAGCAGCATGATTTACAATCCTTTGGGTATATACCCAGTAATTGGATGGCTGGGTCAAATGGTATTTCTAGTTCTAGATACCTGAGGAATCGCCACACTGACTTCCACAATGGTTGAACTAGCTTACAGTCCCACCAACAGTGTCAAAGTGTTCCTATTTCTCCACATCCTCTCCAGCACCTGTTGTTTCCTGACTTTTTAATGATTGCCATTCTAACTGGTGTGAGATGGTATCTCATTATGGTTTTGATTTGCATTTCTCTGATGGCCAGTGATGGTGAGCATTTTTTCATGTGTTTTTTGGCTGCATAAATGTCTTCTTTTGAGAAGTGTCTGTTCATGTCCTTCGCCCACTTTTTGATGGGGTTGTTTGTTTTTTTCTTGTAAATTTGTTTGAGTTCATTGTAGATTCTGGATATTAGCCGTTTGTCAGATGAGTAGGTTGCGAAAATTTTCTCCCATTTTGTAGGTTGCCTGTTCACTCTGATGGTAGTTTCTTTTGCTGTGCAGAAGCTCTTTAGTTTAATTAGATCCCATTTGTCAATTTTGGCTTTTGTTGCCGTTGCTTTTGGTGTTTTAGACATGAAGTCCTTGCCCATGCCTACATCCTGAATGGTAATGCCTAGGTTTTCTTCTAGGGTTTTTATGGTTTTAGGTCTAAAGTTTAAGTCTTTAATCCATCTTGACTTAATTTTTGTATAAGGTGTAAGGAAGGGATCCAGTTTCAGCTTTCTACATATGGCTAGCCAGTTTTCCCAGCACCATTTATTAAATAGGGAATCCTTTCCCCATTGCTTGTTTTTCTCAGATTTGTCAAAGATCAGATAGTTGTATATACGTGGCGTTATTTCTGAGGGCTCTGTTCTATTCCATTGATCTATATCTCTGTTTTGGTACCTATCCTCTTTAATGCCTCTCCTTCACATGTTATTAAAACCAGGTACTATGATTGCTCACCTGACTTTTGGTTCTTATGAATGTGCTTTCTTGCCTGAATATTTGTTCAGTTTGGTGTTCCGATGTGGGGACAATCACTCGGGGTTCTATTCAGCCACATTGCTCTACCTCCTACATTATTAAACTTACTATAAATAGTCATGTTGTAACAATAGCAGTATGAAATATGTATGTTAGAATAAACTGTACTTATTTATTAAGAAAATAATTTAAAAGGACAGCAGTAAATGAGAATTAGATATCTTTTACCTGTAACCCTACGAATCTAGGATATACTTTAGATATTAATAGTTCATATCCCTTTAAAATTAAGAAGTTAGAAAACTAAGATTGTTTATCTTTTATTTTTCAAGTTATATTATTTTTAATTGGATCAGTTAAGTTTATCTCTTAATTTTCCGTGAGAGGACAACTGCTTTGTTCCTTATTTAGCTAACTGAATGGGCTGGGACAGCTTCCATAGCATAAGAGATAATATTTATTGATTCAGGGTCTGCGACAGATCTCTGACCATCTGAATAGATGCTTCACAATTTGCAGCACAGAATTGACCTTCAGTAAACTAACTACCTGTTCTGAGGTGACAGTCACTGGAATCTGAGGTTTGTACATTATTCATTTTAGACAATGAAGACGATTTATTTTATACTTATTTTATGGTGTTGAAATTTAAACACATTAAATTAACATCAATAAATTAAATAAGTCAAAGAAATTCTGACTCCAAAGGTCAAGAAATATAGTACTACTGAAGAATTATATTCAGTATTGACCATTAGAATTAAAAAATATAGAAATATCTAAATATATTCATACTCTTTTTAAGTAATTTTAAAATTGAGACATTTATAATTGTCTCACAAACTATCACATTTGTAATGTAAGTGTAAAACAGTGTAATTTACAAGTGAATCTGCATATGCAATTTCACAATCTTCCTATGTGATACCTTTTTTTTTTTTTTTTTTTTTGAGACGGAATCTCACTCTTTCACCCAGGCTGGAGTGCAGTGGCGCAATCTCGGCTCACTGCAAGCTCCGCCTCCCAGGTTCAGGCCATTCTCCTGCCTCAGCCTCCTGAGTAGCTGGGACTACAGGCACCTGCCACCACGCCCGGCTAATTTTTTTTGTATTTTTAGTAGAGACGGGGTTTCACTGTGTTAGCCAAGGTGGTCTCCATCTCCTGACCTCGTGATCCTCCTGCCTCGGCCTCCCAGAGTGCTGGGATTACAGGCGTGAGCCACCGTGCCCAGCCGATAACTTTTTGTTTTAAACTAGCCGTTTCTAAATTAGAGTAGCTGCCATTTTTATCACTTTTATAATCTCATTCATTGATTATTTTACTCGTGCTAAAAGTTTGCTCTGAAATTCCATATATATATATATATCTTCTGTTGTTCTTAGTTTGGTACATCCCACCTAAAACAGACTACCTACTAATTCTTTTAAATCTCTCTGTTAGGCTCTTTATTGTATACATTTGTAATTATATACAAAATTATTTTCATACTCAGCTAGTTATCTCAATACCACACAGTGATTAATTTATGTGTCAGTGAGAAACATTAAGAATTTTATTGCCAAGAGAGACTCACATAAATCAGAATTCTTATCAGGTTTCAAGAGAGATAGGTGCAGTAGGGGGTGGTCTGGAATATCCCTCTTGCTCCCCAGGCCCTTTCTTTCGGCATCCGATGAGCCCTGGCCCAGGGTATTGGATGAGGTTTGGAGGGTTGGGTGTGTACCAGTGACCTCATTTGTACAGGAGGAGCCATCTCAATATGAAGCATCTCCATTTTATACTCAGTGATACAGCATAGATGGACATTTTTCAGGGAACCATAGCCTATATATTTTTAGATTCCATCTTCATTTTTCATAAGCAATTCAGACATATTCTGCCAAAAGCAGTATATAGATAAACTGCCCTAGTGAAAACCCTTCAGTTTGTTTGCTAGGAAGTCTGTCATTAGTATGTTTCCAAAGAGATCCTACCAGGTCATCTGCTTTCTTACTTTCAGGAAAGCAGACACCATTTTCCCCTGTAAGAGGGAAAATGGATCACAGGCTAGCTGCTTAACTCAGGCAGCAAGTGGAAACTTTGAATGCTCTCCTCAAAATATCTGTTCTATTCTTGCAATCCCCCTCACTTGTATTTTTACCCATTGGTGTTCATTTCCTTTGATCTTAGGGAAATACTTGTTTTCTCATTTCTTCTAAGCAAAAATTCTACCACTTGTCCCCATTTTAACTGCTCATCTACTTTAGAACGGTACTCCATCAGTATGTTTCTTCTGCTGTCTTGAGTTTCTTTCCCATCTCTTCATTGCTGTCAGTTTAAAACACTGCCAAGTTTTCCATCTTTGAAGAAACAAATAAAAAATAATATTTTTCTGTATCCTACTTGCTCCTAAAGTTCTCCATCCTATCCCTCTTTTTCCCTACAAGGCAAACAGTCGTGACACTTGCCATACTCATTTTCTCACTGCCTATGAATTCCTCGATTTCATGTACTTTAGCCATTATAATACAGGTTCTCAACATCAGCATTATTGAGATTTTGTCCTGGATAATTCCGTGTTAGGGGGACTGTGTTGTGCATTGCAGGATGTTAAATAGCATTCATTACCCCTACCTAATAAATGCCAGTGGGACCCCCTGGTTGTGACAACTAAAAATATTTCCAGACATTGCCATGTGTGCCCTGGTAGATAAAAATTGCCCCCAGTTGAGAACTATCTAAAGGTATCAGTGACTTTGCCAATTTTCTTTTTTTTAATCTTAATTTTGTATTCATTTAACAGTGTTGAGGACTCTGCGCACTTACTCTCTTTCTTTCACAGTGCGAAATCTCCTGTGGTTATTCTCATTCTTCTTTGCTCTTTTCAGATTCCTTTGGAGGCTTCTTCACACCCACACTTTAAACACAGCTATTTCTGCCATTTGATCCTTTATTGCTTTTTTATTTACCTGTCCTATCTAAAAACTTAAGATAGAGGGGAAGTTATAAGTGGATTCCAAACACAAAGGCTGGGAATTTCTATTATATTGGAAATCTGACAAAATTGAATAGGCACGACAATCACAATATATTAGATTTATAGAAATATAATGAGGGCCTATGAAAAATTATTTCCATAGGGAGAATAGCCAAAACTCTGAAGGCAATTATCTTTGGAGTGGATATAGAGAAATATGCAGTGATTTTGCCCTAATAGTTAATGGATTCTCTCCTTTTTTTTTTGATGTATATTGCTATTGTAATTTTTGTTTTTATACAACTATATTTCAGCCTGCTTTTAAAATAGTCAAGTAATTCTTAATATCCCCTTCTGTGTCTAAAGTCACTTTGGAGAAGCAGCAATTCTGTCATTTAAAGTAGGACCTCCCTATTAGAATCAGAAATGTAATACATTGTAATACTATTTTCTACTCTCACTGCTATCACTGACCATTATGCATTATTTTTCCAAATTGAAAGCAGCTTAAGTCAAGCAAAAGGCAGTGGCAAAAGTTGCGGGCATTGTGCAAGCAGCATGTATTAAACAATCCAGGAAACTTGGCAACCCCCAGAGACACAGATGTTGCCCACTTCTGCCCTGCAGTGTGGCCTCTGCTACTGTTGTCTCTGCTTTGTCTCCTTCAGAGCTTCCCAGGGACTGTGCCTCAGGCTGAATTGTGCCTCAGGCTGGCTCTGGTCCAAGAGGAGCTTGTGGTGTGCAGAGGGCATGTGTTGGGGAGGGGTGGGAAGTTTTGACTATGACTTTAGAAAAAACGAAAATCTATAAAATACCTTTAGTGTCTAAAAATAAAAAAAGTAATAAAGTAATAAAATGTACTAAATTAGTGAACACAAACACTTTTGTAATATTTTCATGCTTTTCCACACTTCTTTGTTTTTTAAAGGCTTTTGGTACCTCCTAATCTTTCATATGCTGTAAGAATATGCACTTGTATTTTATCTTTATGAAACTTGTCTGAAATAAAAGTGCATTGTTTAAAAATCAAAGGTACACTTTCTTCTAAAACACAATATGAACAAAGTAGGAAAACTTACAAAATTGGAATACTTTTTTGTCAGTTAGATGTGATTTTATTTTAATCAAGTACATGGTATGATGAAAAGAATGATTGATTTGGGAAAGGACACTGAACTCCAATGTTACCTGTTTCAGAAGATAATAATAATACTGCCCACCTCATACAGTTGTCATAGAATCAAATAATATAGTTTATGTGAAAAGGCTTTGTAAGATTTAAAGTGCTATACAAGTGAATATGACAGTTGTTTTATCAATAACGTGTCAAAACTAGAAACATTGAAAAACAAATAGTATTGCCTTTTAAAGTAGTGATTTAGAAAAGAAATATTTTAAAAGTCAAACTCACATTTAGGGTATATCTTTACCATGACAGTGTTAGTTCCTTTCAGCCACAACTAAAAATTCCTAAATGTTCAAGTTATTTATCTATTAGATCTTTATAAGGGTAATGTGCTATTTACTTGATTTGTATTTGGCTATTTTTTGAAAAGTCATACATTTTTCACAGTCTTCAAAATCGATTTATAATCACTTAGAAAAAAATTAATTGAGCAGTATGCTTAAGATTTGAATGCTATGATTTATGTTATACTTTAGTTAGAAAGTTTACTCAACTCAGTTATTTTCTGATTATTAAACTGGGAAAAAAGCATCTGCTCAGAAGACAGGTGTCTTGGCTATTTACAGAGAAATTTAATTTGCATTTTTTTATTTCTTAAATAAATACAAGTTTAACCATTGTAGACATTTATGTGACTACTTATGTAACTTATATAATAACTCGATAAATTACTAATTTTAAAGTATCTTTTGTCAAATTTTAAGGTAATGCTATTCAAAATAGGCAATAACTTCAAAGACCAAAAAATAACATAGAAGAAAATAATGATAGATTATTTATTTTCCTTTAAGAATAAATTTTGAACGTAGTATATTTAGTAGTAATGGTCATTTCTATGATAATTTAAGATCTCTAATCTTTTGTGAGAGAAACTTTTGTAACACACTCGAGTTTTTGCACTTGTCTTTCTTCTTTCTTTATTCTATTGGAAGGATACTTCCACCAGTAGGTTATTCAGCTTGAATATTTAAACTATCAGGGATTAGAACTAGAGGGTAACCAGCTGTCAGATAATTCATATCATGTATTAGGCTTCAGTTGGGATGAGACAGTATATCTCAGCATGCTGTTACCTTCAGTAAGATTTATGTTCCAAAGTGTGGATACATTAATACAAATAGTGATTTTAAATGAAAAGCAGATCAGCCACCTAGCTATGGTTCATGAATCACAGTGATTCTCACTTTATCTTTCTCTCTTTTATTTTTTAATAATAATAATAAAAGTACATAGAAAGTATCTCTGAGCCAAGTGGGTGCCAGAGTACATTGATGCTAAAGCTTTAACTTGACCCAGCCGTCCACTGGAAGTTGCTATAGCTGAGAAAAAAAGAAGTGAGGCATAGATGCTGGGTTTACATTTAGAAAAAGAGAAAGGAACTATTAATGCGTGCTTTTCTCTAATAGCATTTATCTCTCTAGGAAGTCCTGCATAACAAAAGAAGTTGGGATGCCATTAAGTTTTATGAAGTGATACTATGATTTCTTGAAGGGAACTTACTATTACGCTGCTGGAAGCCTGTAAGGTCTGTTAACTAAAGAAGTTCAAAGATAGCCACAGTTGTTCAGTATATAGTTTTGCTTTGTATTTTTTTGATTCAGTGCAGTGGGGTTGAACATAAAAGATGCTTGAATCTTCAGCTTTTCATGATTCTCTGCTTGTTATAAATAGACTATTAAGTAATTTTTAGGAAATCAGAACAAGCGACCTATTCAAATGATTTCTACAGAATTTTTTTTTCCTTTTGTAAAACAATATAAAATACAGTGATTTATAAATTTTGGTACTATAGCTTTGCTAAAAATTTCTATATTATTTAAAAAATAAGAATACTTTTACCATAAGATAGGAAATTATTCTGGTTCAATAAGCAAGCCTATTTTACTGAAACAATAGATAAAAACTTCACTAAAAATATTTTTTTCTTTTTTTTTCTTTTTTTAAGAAGCATGAGTGCATAATAAAGTAACAGTAGAAATGCTCAGGATAAAACAGCAACCCAAATTAAAGAGAGTGTTAAAAAGATGATTTTATTAGATGGACTTAATGTCCACCTAATGGACAAATAAAGTAAATTCTGTTTGACCCAGTGCTAACTATGTGCCCGTTATGCATTAGGTACTATTTTAGGGCATGGGGATGACATAGTCAACAGGAAGAGAAGATTTCTTTACTTGTGGCAGCTGAGTTACATGGTATTAAAAGAAACTAAAAGAAAGTCTTGAATCTGAAACATTTAGATTTCCTACCAGAGTCCTGAAATGCCTGCATTCTGAAAATAGAGGCTCCTTTCCCACAAGGACACCTTACTAGAATAAGTAAGAAATTACTAGTTCTGGATTCTATTACAGATCTAAGTAATCAATCAAATGGTGAACAGCCCACAACCAAATCTGAAAATAGAAGTGAGGGGATATAATTGGCTTATAATTATTGGTGAGGTAGAGCAAAGGTTTAAGTAAAGTGAGTCCAATGCATTTCTTCAGTGAACGTTGTGGACTACCATGAGCCAGAAACTGGGCATTATGTCTTCCAAGAAATGTAAGACAGCTTTTTTTTTTTTTTAAACTTTGAAAGGTTGTATTATACATTTGTTCAGATAATCTGTTTCCACGAATTGTCAGATTCACAAAACAGAACTTGTAGGAAGTAGAACTCAGAGAAGTAAAATGAGGTATCTTCATCTCTATTTTTATTTTTTCCCCTCTGTCCCCTTTTTCTGCCTCTTCTTAGTGTCAACTTATTTCTTAAAAATAAAAGCATTACTGAAAATAACAAAACTCAGTTGCATATTAATAGTATCAGACTCAAGAGAACAGATAAATTAGGTATTGCTTCTTCTACTGTTCCCGCATGTGAATCTTTTACTTTAAAGAAAAAGTTAACCAAACTTACTTTCATGCTTTATAGAACGAGCATCACTTTAGTTATGCCACGTCGCTACAGTTTTCATAAGTAAATTTTATTTTATTTTTTTGAGATGGAGTTTTTTTTTTTTGCTCTTATTGCCCAGGCTGGAGTGCAGTGGCTTGATTTTGGCTCACTGCAACCTCCGCCTACTGGGTTCAAGCAATTCTCCTGCCTCAGCCTCCCACGTAGCTGGGATTACAAGCGTGCGCTACCACCCTGGGCTAACTTTGTATTTTTAGTAGAGACGGGGTTTCACTATGTTGGTCAGGCTGGTCTCAAACTCCTGAACTCAGGTGATCCACCTGCCTTGGCCCTCCAAAGTGCTGTATTTACAGGCATGAGCCACCATACCCGGCTATTTTTATTTAACAATAATTTCATAGTTACAAGGAAGTTAGATGGATTAAGTAAAGAACTCTCATAGGACCTTTAGATAGATTTACAAATTGGTGATTTTTATCACATTGTCTTTCTTTCTCTCTCCTTCTGTCTCTGTGATAAAACAAACATATATTATCTATATTATTTTTGTGAATCATGTGAGTGTTGGTTGTAGACATCATGATTCTTTACTCCTATATACTTTAGCATGTATTTTCTAAGAAGAAGGATATTCTCTTACATCAGAAAGTAAGTATCAAAATCTGCAAATTTAACCTTGCCACAGTATTTTATTTAATATAAATCTATATTCAGTTTTTCCTAGTTGTTTCAATTAAAACAAAATCTAGGCTCCAATCCAGAACCACGTGTTATGTTTAGTTGTTATGTCTCTTTTCTCTCCTTTAATCTGAAATAGTTTCTCATCATTTTTTCTCTTACATGGCACTAACACTCATGACAGTTATTTGCAGACTAATTCATGATTGTCTGGTTTTTCACTATTAGATTCAGCTTATGCAATTTTTGGAAGAGAAACTACATGTGTAATATATTGTTCTTCTTAGTGGATCATGTCAGGGGGTGCAAAATGTCAATTTATCTCATTCCTGGTGATGTTACTTTTGATCACTTGGTAAAGAAAGTGTTTACTAGTTCCTCACCTCTCTGTGGAAAGGGACACAGCTGAAGCCATGCCTTTTACATAGGGTGCTCTCTTGCCTACACAGTTGTAACCGGGAGTGGTTCAAGACAAGACATAGACTCAACAGTTTTGATGATGAATTGTGGAAAAGAACATAGCACTAACCAGGAATTAGACAAGAAACAGAATAACAGAATTTCTCAGAAACAAACACAAAACAAACAAAACGAAACAAAAAAAGAAATAAAACCAAGAAAAAAATCAGAAGAAAAAAACAAACAGAAATTCAGCAAACGTGAAATGCTATTGCCACTTGAAAGTCACTTTGAGATCCAAGAAGAGACATGCCTGGTCTTAATCAGACCGTGAAGTTACTTCTCCAGCAATGCAGTTTAAGTGGTTCTAGCATGTGAGTTTACTTCAGCATCTCAGTGAGTTGTCCACAATTGTCAAAGTGTAATTTTCAAAAGTTTAAAAATGATTTTTTACAAATATAGATTGGACAAGAATCAAAGATCTACTCAATTCATTAATAAGAAAACCTGCACAATAGTAAATTGGTTCAAAGAGCATTTGATTAACTGGATATTTATAGCAATTTGATAGAAGAATGCTAGAGTAATATTGGAAAGTTGGATACAAAATCGGTTCAGGTCCTGCAGGACAATTATCAATTACTAGACAAAAACATTTGTATCATCATTGGATACAAATTTGCAAGTTACCTTTTAACTTCACTGAGTCAGAGCTCTTACAGTAAATAGCAAAATCAAACAATTATATAATCTATTGAATGTAGTAATCTTTGGGAAAGCCTTTTAGGTAATACTTCAGTATGCGATCACCTTCTTGGCCTTCTTTCTGTTTTGTATTCTTAACACAACCATTACCTTGGTGAGCTCAAGAGAAACCAAGAGAACAGCAATTTAGACCAAGAGAAATTCATGTATAATTGCGATAATGCACAAAGTATTTCAGTAAGGCAGGAGAGTTAGAATAAAGGTGAGATGCTATGATAGAAAGGGGTAGGAGATAGAGAAGAGCTAGGCCAGGGAGAGTCACTATTATATAATGAGGGTTTGGGTAGGAAGTCAGGAGCGATTGACTTTTTTTAAGCGATTGGTTTTAAGCAGGAAAGTAGCACAAACAGATAGGCCTTCTGGAATCATCATTCATTTAATTTTAAATATATTAAATGAATTCATTATGTGGCTATAGGTTAGAGTAAAAAATACTTTACATAAAAAAAGACAGTGTTCTTTATTATTGTGACTACAGAACAGCACATTGCTTTTTTGTTGACATTTGAGATAAACTTTATATTGCAATTTGTTTGAGATACTTTGCTGCCAAAAAAAAAAGTTTTCTCTCAGCATTTAGCCAAAGTTTCATATTATTTATTCAATTATGCATTGTTTTATGCTTGTTCTTAAAAATAATAGAGTTGTGTATTTAAAAGCTTTCCCATTAGTGAATAGTTACCCAATAATCATGAACTTATCAATTAAATCTATTAGGGAGAATGGCAATAATGACGTTCCTAAGAGAAGGACACCAATGAATTATTTATATTTTGGCTATTTTTCTTTTATTCAGTAGTTTGTGTACCATTCTAATATTTTGACTTCAATTATAAAATACCACAATTTATTAGTGACTGAAGTCACACAGCCCAATTTATGATAAACCTATTTTCTAGTCACAAACCAAACTGTCATTCTGTAAAATATCCTCATAGTCTTGCACATAGGGTAGTGTGAAAGGTGACAAAAGGTAACAGGAAGAATTTATAAAAGTCAAAAATCTTATGTGTAGGCAGTGGATGTGACTATAGGGATTTATACTTATTGTATTGTAAGTAGCAGCGGGTTTTTGGTTTGGCTCCTGTGTGTTAATTCTGAAATCAACTACCTTATTCAAAGGCATTATTTTTTCTAAAAGACACTGGACATGAAGAAACAAGTAGCCAGAGATGCAGTTGGCATGAGCTGATTGCAAGATTATTTTCTAATTAAAATACGTCATGGCAAAGAAAGAATAATTAGGTATCATATAGGCTTCTTCATTGACAGAAAATAAAAGTGCCACACTTAATTTTTAAACCATTCACAAATCCAATTCATGCGTAAAGTGAACTTAAAGATGACAGACTAATTAATTAATGATGAGTGGATTAGAAATGAGAAATACAAACAAACATGTCTGAAGAGAGGTAGTAATTATATATAAGCTTGTAGGTTGTCAGGATTTTCTTAAGTATTTATTATTAGGAGACCTTAAGATGTTTTTCCTAATACCTAAGAATATGAGCTTTCTATGACATTTCATCTATAATTTTCATGATTAAGCCTTATATAACATTTTCCCTTTTCTTTTTTAGCCCTATGAAAGCAAATATTTGTTCCCTAAATTTGCTCATTGTCAGGGATGGAAAATTTGGAAAGTTAATATTTATTGGAAGTTTATTATATATCAAAACTTACATAGTCATATTTCCCCCATGAAAAACTGTGCACTTTTAGTAAATGGATGTAGTCATTAAAATTCTTTCTCCTATTGAATCCTACCTCCCTGTAACTTGTGTATTGTTCTCTGTTGCAACACACAATTCTGCAGTGTTGGCCAGGCTGGACTCAAACTCCTGATTTTAAGTGGTCCTCCCGCCTTGTCTTTCCAAAGTGCTGGGATTACAGGCGTGAGCCATCACGCCCGACATAGATATTTATAGCTTTTTTATATTTTTGGCTTTTATAAAATATGTATATTCTTTCAATATTAAGAACACTCACCATTTCTATGCCATGGATACACTGTTTTGGGAAATAATCTTTAAAAACATGTTACATTCATAGAAAAATAGCATAAATCACATGTCTGAAAACTGATTAGAAAGTGATAATTAATCCTTTTTTTCTAGACACTAGACCTTAGATTTTCTAAATTTTGTTTTATTCCAAGAGAATTTGGCCTTGACTGCAGAAATTTCCACAGAATGATTATTTTGGCTACTGACTAGGTTAACTGACAGTTATGTAATCTTGAGTTAAAGGACTAAAGAGACAATAGTAGATTTATTTATTTTGGTGGTATAGATTTAGTTAAAGAGTTATCCTTAGGATCACTGATAATGTGGAGGAACAATATTTCAGATTCCAAACATAGGACTCTACATGTGTCATGTAAGAAAGTGTAAAATGAATAAAAACACTTAGGACCAATTTGAACTGACAATTCTGTGCTTTCATTAATAGACTATTGAATCTCAACCAGTTTTCACCTGTCTTCTTCCTAGACTTAATTTGAAGTGACTGGGTTTAAGTAAGAATGGTTTAAGTAAGAACAGGCTGTTAAAGACTTCAAAAACATTTAATAAATTTATGATTTCCCTTATCATTATGTGAGAAGAACTACAAATCAGCTTGGTCCTTTCCTTGAGGATATGTGTCCTAGATTTGTGTCTTTGAGTAAAGGTATTGCATAGGGAGTTTATTTTTGCTTTGATTGTCAAGAAAGTAGCAATCCTGGTGATGATGGTGGTGCGTGTATACTTTGCTAAAGTGAATCCAATATGTAAAAATACACATTTATAAAGCAAGGGAATTCAGCCAGTTTTTTTGCATACAATTTATAATAAATATACTCAATAGCAAATCCTTCTGCATTCGTCAGCAATATTAGCTGATGTTTATTAATGGCTGATGTTTATTAATCTACAGACTGGCCCTAAGCCTAAAATCAAAGGTGAACACATCACAAATGGTTTATTTACAAAACATTACAAACTGCAAGACAAGGTAATATCTGGCCTAGAAAATAAGGTGAAGTAGAAAAAACAGAACTTGCAATCAGAATCAATAAGGCCTGAATATCTGTTCTCTGGCTCTTCCCATGTACCAGTTCTCTACTCACTTCCATCAATTATGTTTGTAAAAGGTGGTTGAATGAAGAAAGCAGAATTGCACAGAAGGATAAGTTGAAATGTAATGCAGTGGGAACAGGGCCTCAACTGATCATATAATGAACTCTCAGACTGAGATGAGTCTTCATATTTGCTCTACATCAGGGCAAGAGGAAGCATTCTCTATACCTCCATATTGATCAAGGAGTGCAGACTGCTCGGAGAAGGGGTTGTGACCCACAGTGGACAAGGCAGTAAGGGCTGAGAGCTGAGGCCAAGTCGTGAAGAGGGATTTAGTTGAGAGCAGATAGTAGTCAAAACACAGCAGCTGGGAGAATGCATGTTTCAGTCCTGATTGTGGGGATCTGGAAAGTATAGCACTTCAGCCATTGGAGTATCTGTCTTCACAAAAATCCCTTAAAGTTAGACATTATTATTTTTCACATACTACAAATGAGGAAATTGAGATATATAGATAGTAATTAATACTAATAAATATGCTAATGTAGTTGTTTTTAATCTTTTTTTTTTTACAAGATCCCTTAACATTCTTAAAAATTACTGAGGATCAAAAAGAATGTTGGTTTCTGTGAGTTGTATCAATTAATACTTACCTAATTAATAATGAAAACAGACATCTGAAAAAAAGTAAGCTATTTTCAGATAATAGTATTTAACCCATTATATGTTAAATAAAATAATTTTTTAGAAACATCTATATTTTCCCAAACAAAAAAAATGATGAGAAGTGCGGTATTGCTTTACAGTTTTGCAAATTTCTTCATTGTCTGGCTGGGATTTTCTCTTTCTTCATTCAATCTGGTGCAATATGTTGTTTTGTGAAGAATATTAGCCCACACATAGATATGTTGTTCGAAAAGGGTAGTTCCTCACAGTTTAGTTGAAGGCAGGATCTGAAGCCATATTGATGAATTTTTTATACTCTGAAATAAAATGCTGATACTAATGTGAATATTGTACTCATAGAAACACTTTTGACTCTTTGTTCTTAAAACCAGTCACATTCACTGCTAGTTTTGGGACTTGCCCCATCTAAGATAGTGGTTGTCCTCACCTCCCACTATCTTCATGCTTCCCACTTCACTTGCTCCTTTCTACCTATTCCTGAATGTCTAATGCAAGTTCTTCACCCCATGTGAAACTCTCCTGAAATATTCCAGCCTTTACTGACTTAAACTTCTGTTTTGGACAAATGATTTTCTGATTGTTTTCTTTCTGTTGTTTTCAATTTTCTTTTCCTTCTGCTTTTTATCATCTGCAGTTGTATTTGTAACTTGTTTTAAACAAAAAGAATTGAAAAATTGAAGTTCCTAACAATGTTCATTCTTTTGCAGCTTACACAGGAAAAAGAAGCAAAACCCACAATATATGTCATCTTCTGTTGTGAAACAAAGATATTTCACACTGATTACCTTATGAGGGCTTGAGTGTCACTGATTGTTTTACTCCAGCATAGTGCTTAAGCATAGTATAGTATTCAGTTAATTAATGTTTATTGAGCTTAATTGAATTGACTGCTTTCTAGCTCTGCATTTTCGTTTATACAAAAAATAATGAAAATTTGTTATTTTAATCAGACGTACTCGCCTTCTGATTCAGATAAAATTACTAATTTTAGTGAGCTGCAATAGTGACAAAATCTATCTCCTGTTATGCCTTTGTATATGTTGTATTCTTGACTGTTCAGCTATTCCACATAAGGTACATAGCTTTTTATTGTATTGACATCATATCAAAGTCCAGATCTAAACCATTTCATGCAATAAAATAAGTAAGTCCTATGAGTTCCAATTTGTAGACGATACATTCTTGGTAGGGAGCTTAGTTTCTACAAGGAGTCTCGAGTAAAAGCAGCATTTGTTGAATAAATGACATGTTGCACATACATGTGTTTCTGTGGATTTAAAGGTTTGTTGTAGTTTTCATAAATTGTTTATATATTTATAGCGTTTACAAGATGATTTTTGGGAAAAATAATTTTCTTTCTATAGAACTCCAGACTAGTAAATCCAATTACCAACTTTCCCCGTTACTCATGCCAAAAAACTTGAACTTCTTCCTGCCTGTGTTCCTTCTCTGAGAACTCACATTTATGTCATTCCCAAATTCTTTTGTCATAAGACACCCAGAATTTGACCAGTTCTCACCATCTCTGTCATTGCCATATGTCGGGGTGGCCTCTCTGGCTGGAGTCTTGCCATCGCCTCCCAGCTGCTCCCCTACTTTTGGTTCACTCTTGCTTGCTTAGTCTGCTCTCCTCAGAGCTGCTCAATTGATCCTTTTAATATCTAAATTAAATTATGTTATGTCTGTTCTCAACACTTCCCAATGGCTTCCCACTATGGCCTGCATTTCCCTACACAATTCCATTCCTTGCTTTCGCTCTCCAGTTATCTCCTATTATTTTACCTTCCTTTCGCTCCACTAACCACTTTATCCTTCTTAATTTTTCTTGGGCTTGTCAAGCAATTACCCACCCCAGTGTCTTTGCACTTGTAATTCTTGCTGCTTGGAACACCCTTCCTCCAGATTACTGCATGTTGTCCTCCCTCATTTTCTTTGGGTTTCTGCTCAAGTGTCACCTTATCATTATGTCATCCCTGACCATTCTCTATAAAACAGCAACTGCTGTTTTTTTAATCTTTCCGTATCTGCTTTACCATGCTTCCTTTTTTCTCAATAATATTTATCACTATTTTACATAATATATGTTTGCTTACTTATTTAATGTGAGGCTCACCCAATACTGGAGCAAAAGATACTTTAGAGCATGTACTATTTTATATATATATATATAATGAAACATCCCCAAAGCCTAGAACAGGGCATCAAACAAAGAAAGCATGGAATACATATTAAGCAAATAGAAGAAAGAAAAAGTAAATAATCCAGAAAAATATTTTCTAATTTGTTTTAACCTTTTGTTATTTTATATTTTCTCCTTAGTGACAATTAAAAATTCCATCTACTATTATATTTTCCCCCCAACACTTCCAATGGTTTTCTGCCGTTGGAATAGGACCTTGCTAAAACAGGCTTTTCATAAAGTTCTGAATTACATATTAATTTCTCTTTTGGCCTCACAGTAGGAGGATGAAATACTGCAAGTGGTAGAAGATTATTTTTACCTTAGAATACACATCCTAGTGCATGTTGCAAGGCTCCAAATATATCTATTCTAAAGCGTTGATTTACATTTACCCTCAAAAACTAAAAGCAAGCGGAGTTTGACTTCTTTGTTCTTTCATAGTAAATATCCTGTGTAATGAGAGACTTTTGTTTTCTTAAAAAAAGTCCTCAGAGAAAGCTGCACTATTACTCAAATTGTTTCTGTCAAATTGAATTTCATTTGTGAATTTGTGCTAGTTTAAAACATTTAAAAATCAGACATTTTGGCATATTGTTTTTGGATTCAAAGGAAATTATAATTACAGCAGTTACAAAGCAAGGAAAAAATAGCTGTTGAATCATCTATGGAGCATATTGCATAATTTGTAATTTTAGACTCTCAGTAATTCAATTAATTTAACATGACAACTTTTCTGTGCTTTACAATTTGGCAATTTCTAGCAATTTAATAGGTTTCCCCCTTTTTATTTCCAAACATTCCCATAAGGTTTACAAGTCTTTGAAATGCTAATTTCAATCAAAGTACAGTTTAATTTAAAATTTCATTGTTAATTGTAGTTATTTATCCATTTCAGTTATCGATGATCCAGCCCAGTGGCATTTGTCAAAATGAGCAGTCAGTTCATCTTGGGTTTAGATACTAAACTGGAACATTTAAAAGTTAACCTAATGATATGTTTAGTAATAATAAAGCTGTAAACAAATTTATAATCTATGCTTAATACAAATTGTAACATAACTTTAAAAATACTCAAGACATGAATAACAGTAATGAGTTTTCGCTGTAAAGAGAGCTGTGATATAATGTGGGAGAAATTGAAATTATTATAAATAGAAAATAATTTTGAGAACTGCTACTGTCATAGAATTAATAATTTTGCACTGTTTTTGAAAATCACTCCATTTAGAAGATCAGCTGGAATGTCTGTTTCCTCATAGATAAATTTTTAACAGAATAGCATCTTTACTGCTGCATCATGCAGTGAAATCAGTGAAAGTGTTATTTGTTGAAGTGCTTAGCTCTGTGATCTTATGAGAGTTTTATTATCTTCTTCCTAGATGAAAAATATCTCTTCTTGTAATCATCTTTGACATTAACTTGACAATGTTTAGATGGCATGTAAATCAGATTATGATGCCTAACCATTATTAACACAGCAAATGAAT
The DNA here is from genome assembly GCF_000001405.40 of Homo sapiens. NCBI lineage: Eukaryota > Metazoa > Chordata > Mammalia > Primates > Hominidae > Homo > Homo sapiens. The sequence continues at coordinate 90,341,418 of NC_000004.12, forward strand.
TTTTACTCTCGAGTTCATAAATCCACAAGGAGCATTTTTTAAATATAATATCCTTTTAATAAACCTAGATATTTAAAAATTAATTTTTACATTATCCCCAAATACTCCAAATATTATACTTTTTGTTATATTTGTTTTTACTAGTCTAGACAACTCAAATAAAATAGCTAATCTTCTATGATATTTATTTACCAATTCTATTTATATTTATACTGCATTGTGTTTTATGATCTATGGATAAAAGCTTTAACTTGTCAACCTGACTATTAGGCTGTTTAGACATTAAATTCAGTTTCTTTTTCTCTAGGCTGAATCTGATTTATTATTGCACCAAATACAGTTAATAAATACTCTTTTATGGAAATTATTTATTCTGACCTGAATCTGCCTTAATCATGGAGATTAAATGAGACTGACAAAAAATAGAAAGAACCTTAAGGTGTCTGGTTACATATTTTGTTGTAGAATGTTTACCTTATATGCATAGATAGACTAATAAAACCTCAATGTAAATATAAGCTTTAGAATGCAGGGGTTTATTTGGTGGATTAGATGGCACTGATCTAGTCTTTTCATGACTACCTCCCCTTGAGGTACCGAAAATCTGGATTATCTTTACTTCCAGAAGAAATTACCAGAGACCCACTGGCAAAGTATTTAATAAGACAATTATTTTCTTTTAAGTGCAGTAAATGCAGGCAGTGTGTAAAATCTGAATTGAATACAAGAGATTTGAAAGCGAGGGATATACAAAGAGAGAACATGCTTATTTTCTGGTTTCTTTAGTCCAAGAAAGATAATGTTGAACTGAGAATGGGTGAGAACAAGGTAACTGACCTGGGGATCTCACAGTTTTGTGGAAACAGTGATTTGCTACCAATGCATATATGAGGCCTTTACACTTGTTCTATTCTTATTACCATTTGGGCAATTTCACGTCTCTTGTCATCTTGCTCTCCATAGCTCACTGTTAAGTCTTCAGACATTGACTATCCTCACCCTTACGCCATCCTCCTTTCTCAGAAAGTAATCATGCCTACCTTTCTTTTCACAGAGAAAATGGAGACAATGAGAGTTCTACTCACTCAATTTCTGGCAATACTTCCCACATATACATTTCTATACTTTTGCATTCAGCATTATTTTTTTCATTCCAGTCATAAAGGAAAGGTCATTTATCAAGAATCTTGTTTGCAAGTGAAAGAACCATAGCACCGAGTATCCCTCTGTCACCTGCTCATTTTCCCGTAATAGTTAATCACTCTGAAATAATATTCTTATTTTCTCTTACTTTCTCACCATGAAGTTTTCCATACTCCAGGACTTTGTGGAAACTGATCTTGTTAAGGATGTCCATAGTTTCCTCATTGTTACCATCGGTGGACTTCATCCTCTTTCTCTTCTCTGTCATGTTATATTGCTGATTATTCCTTTATTCTTAAAACATCCTTTTTGGCTTTTAGATCATAGTATTTTTTAAGATTTTTTCTTATCTTATTGCTCTTTTCTTATCAGTTGCCTTCTCTAGTATCTTTTCCTTAGGTATTGATGTCCTCCAGATATTGATTCTGGGTGCCTCTCTTCTTCTTCACTGCATTTTCCCCCAAATGATTTAATTAACTTCAATTCTCAATTGATGATAATAAAAGTCTCTTTCTTCAGGTCAGCCTCTTTATCTGTATGACTTGCAGGCATGTCATCTTTAATATGTTCAAAATAAACTATCCTTGCTATCTTGCAAACTTTCTCTTCTATTTTTTGGGGGCCTTTATCAACTTGCTTATCAAAGTCATTTATCATATCCTTTTAATTATAAAGTCTTATTTATACAGCTTCTTAATTAAAACTTCAGTCTGCCTTCCTTCCATTCTCACTGTCATTACCTAAATTCAGGGCCCATTATTTATCACCTAGGTGATTGCAGTAGCCTTAAAACTAGACTCTAGGCCGGGCATGGTGGAGGCCAAGGTGGATGGATCATTTGAGGTCAGGGGTTCCAGACCAGCCTGGCCGACACGGTGAAACCCCGTCTCTACTGAAAATACAAAAATTAGCTGGGTGGTAGTGGAGCGCGTTTGTAATCCAGCTCCTCAGGAGGCTGAGGCAGGAGAATCACTTGAGCCTGGGAGACGGAGGTTGCAGTGAGCTGAGATTGCACCACCACACCCCAGCCTGGCGACAGAGTGAGACCCTGTCCCAAAAAACAAAACGAAACAAAACAAAACTAGACTATATTTTTTAGACTTGATGGACTTTGGTGTATTCTCACACCAGACTTTTTGGTAACACAAAGTGTTTCATGTTACTTTTCTGCAATTTATTTTATTTTTCTTAATTTTTGTGGGTACATAGTGGTATATATATGTATGAGGTACATGCGACATTTTCATACAGGCATGCAATGTGTAAGAATCACATCATGGAAAATGGGGTAGCCATGCCCTCAAGGATTTATCCTTTGTGTTACAAACCATCCAATTATACTCTTTTAGTTGTTTAAAAGTGTAGAATTAAATTATTGACTATAATAACTCTGTTGCGCTATCAAATACTAGGTCTTATTCATTCTTACTAACTATTTTTTGTACCCATTAACCATCCTGACTCCCCTCCCCAAGTCCACTAACCTCCCCAGCCTCTGGTAACCATCCTTTTACTTTCTATCTCCATGAGTTCAATTGTTTCAACTTTTAGATCCCATAAATAAGTGAGAACATATGATGTTTGTCTTTCTGTGCCTGGCTTATTTCACTTAACATAATGACCTCCAGTTCCATCCATGTTGTTCCAGATGAAAGGATGCCACTCTTTTTTACAGTCGAATAGTACTTCATTGTGTATGTGTACCACATTCATTTATTTTTCTGCCTAAATATTCTTGACATACAAATAATTTTTCCATTTAGTATCATATTTCAAGATTTAACTTAGTCTTCTCCTAAAGTGCTGTGTTCTGCACGTGTTCTTATTATACTTCTTATCACACTTACTTGAATCTGTTTGTGTAACTTTTTTTTTGACTGGTTTCTCAGTACATCATAAATGTAGAGACTGTGTGGTACAGATACTTCTCGCCTTACAATGGGGTTACATACCAATAAACCCAATAGATATTAAAAATATTGTGAAATCGGAAATGCATTTAGTACCCCCATAAACTCCTTGTAAAGTTGAAAATTTATAAGTTGAGCCATCAAAGATCCAGATGCTCCTTGACTTATGATGGGGTTACATCCTGTTAAATTCATGATAAGGTCAAAAAATTGTTAAGTTGAACTATTATTAAGTTGGGGAGCATCTGTACTTATCCATCTGCCCTCATGCCAGGTATAGTAACTTGTGCTTAATAAAACTTTAATACACCTCTGAATGAATGTATGTGTGAATTGTCTAATAGATGTAACTAAGAATAAAATGAGGATAACTTCAAAAGAGAACATATGTATATTAAATATGCTATTTTTACAGAATTTATTCAATGAGACTACTTTCTCGTTGTGTATAAAATATTGAATGCATATAAATTCAATTTCCTCGTAACATTCATTTGACCAACTTCAGCCAGACAGTCCTTGATTCCCATGTTTGACAGTTTGCTCATCTGCTTAGAAAAAGGGAAAGGAAGAAAAAAAGAAAACCATGCTCTTTCCATTAAAAGAGTTGGCACTATCAACTGTTTTATTGTCAAAACTAAATATAATTTTACCAATGATGATGACATTTAAGAATACACGTTTGTGTGTAAGCTGGCCTTTAATACAAACATTTAACAGAAATATGTGTAGGAATGTAGTAGGAGAACCACCAGCATTGAAGTCATTGATTGCCATGTTACTGACAAAGTATTTAAATGGAAGAAACAAGAGATTGAGTTGTCTCCCAAACAGTAAGGGTACTATGTGTGTTTTTGCAGGTTTATTATTTTGGAATTGAAAAATTTTAAGAAAAAGTTATCATTTGGGATGACAAATGCTAAGTGAAGAATCCTGTAGCAGAAGTTTATTGTTGGTTACTGCTGCTAATTCTTCCCAGTGTGGTACTTTATAAAACAAATTTTAAATTCTACTTGGTTATTCTCAGGACCAAAAGGTGATAATTTTTTGTGTGTGTCTGCTTGAAAATATGCAGTATGAAAACTCTTAAATCAATAGTTTGTAGTACAGAGAAATAATTACTGCTTGGAAAAGAGTAATTTTCAATCATATACTAAATGAACAGACAAATTAACAAAAACGTTTATTGAACTTATGCTAAAGGCACTGAGCACAACCATGAACAACACACATGGCCCTTACTCTCTTCGAACCCAGCAGCATAATTTATCTCTTAGATTAATTCAATAGCCTCCTATAAGATCTCCACATCTCTCTATCTTCTAAACCATATTTTAGAGTAATTATTGTAAAACAGAAATCTTATGTAATCTCACTGTTTAAATCATTTCAGAAATCATTTCAGAAATTAACCATTACTCTTAGAATTAAGAGAAAAAGTATTTTATTTTTTCTCTATAGGCTGTGATGGTTTTGGCTCTACCTGTCTTCATAGTCTCCTTTAATACCCTCCCCCATTTATTTCTGTGGTCTAACCACTCTTTCCTTCCTTAATTTATGTAAATACCCTACTTTTTTTCTGCCATATGACCTGTGCACATTCTGCTTTTTCTATATAAAATGGTGTTTAAATATTTTAATGAAGTTAAAACACATTTTACCCAAATAATGGATGCCGCTTGGACTAATGGTTATAGAAGCTGTTACATAAAGAATCCTTTGTAAATTTATAGAAATGTCATAGCTTAACCAAATATTTCTTGCATAAATATAAATAGGCAAAATGTGATCAAAACAATATTTAAAATTATACATTTAATACAGATTTCTTATTATTCAGTTAAGTGGTATATTTCTTAAGCACTTATAACCGTGTAGATCTCTCTTCTTTATTGCAGTAAAATTATGGTAATTTATATTTATTTTGTTTTGTGGCACTTTATATAATTATGTGATATTTCAATTATAGCTAGATTGTCAGTGAAAGCTTAGATTATACTCAATATAATTCTACTTAAGTATAAGATTTAATTTGAATACTAAACCTGAAAGCTTCTTAACTTCGAATGCTTTCCATTATCAAGTAATGCTTGATTTTTAATTTGTCTAGATTTATGAAGAGCTTTAGAGTACTTGATGAAATTTTATTTGAAAGCATCAATATGGTCACAATTTTCTATTACTGAAAAAATGTGTGCCTGTGTATGTCTGTGTTTGTGGCATGCCACATAAATAATGTATTACAATACTTGTATGTACATAAGTACTGGTTGCTTTGGAAAATATATTGCTCTTCTATCTAGTTTGACTTGACAATGAAATTACAAAGAATTGTTGCAGTTTTAAATTTATTATTTTTAATTTCATCTTATTAATAAAAATAATAATGTAAATGGTCACAGAATTTCTTTCCCCAGTAACCTTTTATTGAGGCTACAGTAGACAACATATTTACTTTCAGTGGAAGAAATAGTAAACTTCCCATGAATTAAAGTAGATCAGATTTTATAGAAATGTTTCTATGCCCTATGCAGGTGAATTCAATATGGATAGCTCTGATCTTTCCGAAGGCTCTTTGTTTGAAGGTTAAAGAAATAAGGTTATTTTGTTTGTATGTTTATAACTTAATTTTATATTCCTGTAGTTTTTCTATATGATTAAGTACATTATAGAAGCACTACAGAGTATAATTGGAATAAACAAAAGCATAAATAATAGGACAGATTTGCCTATAATTTTTACTTGTTTATCAGGCTGCCAATTTATAAGGAACTAATTTCACCTCATAAGACTAAATACTATGTATTTTTTAAACATTCAGTGATAACTATTAACATAAGCTCTATCTATCTATCTATCTATCTATCTATCTATCTATCTATATACTTTATTGGTAGAATAGAATGAGCTTTTTAGTTTACCTAATAGGGACTATCTCTTGGATTACAGTGGCTATCTCTGGTTTCACTTTTGGCAGGTGGAGCTATCCACAGTCATCCACAGTCCAAAAATATGAAATGGAAAATTCCAGAAATAAACAATTCATGCTTTAAATTTCAGGCTGCTCTTGTATCTCACCCTGACCTTCCCAGAACGTGAATCATCTCTTTGTCCAGCATGTGCATGCTGAATATGTCCCCTACATTTTACTCTTTTTAGTAGCTGTCATGATTTATCAGAGGCCCAAGCTGAGGTCCCATCAGAGGCCCAGTTGAGGCCACAGCAGCAACCTCACCAGAGAAACTGGCAGAGTAACTGATAGAAGAGGGAAAGAAAGAAGGGAAAGATACGGAAAAATAAGTAGAAGAAAACTAGAAAATAGAAGAAAATGTTCAGTTGAAGTAAAAGGCAAATGTATCAAACACTTTAAGCACCAAAGGAATGTGAGAAGCAAGGTTTAGGTGGAAAAACATAGGTCCACTGGCTCTGATATCCCAGTAAACACCATGGAATATTATGCAGCCATAAAAAAGAACAAGATCATGTTCTTTGCAGGGACATAGATGGAGCTGGAGGACATTATCTTTAGCAAGCTAATGAAGGAACAGAAAACCAAATACTGCATGTTCTCACTTATAAATGGGAGCTAAATGATGAGGACATATGGACACATGGAGGGGAACAACACACACTGGGGCCTTTTGGAGGCTGGAGGGTGGGAGGAGGGAGAAGATCAGGAAAAATAACAAATGGGTACTAGGTGAAATACCTGGGTGACGAAGTAATTTGTACAACAAACCCCCATGGTGCACGTTTACCTATGTAACCAACCTGAACTTGTACACCTGAACTTAAAATAAAAGTTAAAAAAAAGGTATCAATGTTATTCTAAAATGAAAGTTTTTCTACTCTCATAAAATATTTCAGTATTTTTGTTATGTGTACGTATTTGAAATCATAGATTATATAATATTATTTTACTATGTTCTTTTATCCATTTCATAAAACCATATTATTCAATTATTCACATGTATCTTGGACATTAACATTCTTATCTCAATAGGGCAAATTTTTAATTTTCCCCAAACTGTTTTTCAGGGCATGCTATATTCCAGCTACATTGTATTGCACATAGTACTGTCTCTATCTGTTTTTAATTATCAGTGGACTTTTCATCTCAATAAAAATTACTCAGTATATTAAGACAATTGTTCATTTGATTATTTTAATTATTCTGTTAATGTACACTGATTAAATGAAAGGAGTTTATAATTCCAAAGATAGAATTATATTTTCAGATTAAAAAAAAGAAAAAACGTAGTGAATTTAGGGTTTAGCATTATCTGAGGTTTCTGACATCCACTGGTGGTCTTTTTTCCCACAAACTATTATGTGTATCACTGCCAGAATAATTGCCCTAAGCAACGGTCTTAAACGTTGTTGTGAACCACATTTTAACTATCTGGAATGTGGCTTTGTCCATATTTTTATATATCTTTTTTCTATTAATCTCTGAGTTTATAGAAGGTAGAAAGCATTTTTTATTTATCTCTGTGGCTAGCACTGTATCTGATGTTTCCTAAATATAAGTTTATGGCTTTGAAAGAATGAGTTCCAGTGTGCATAAAAATCCTAATGGGGTCCCTCCTAACATAAAATGGAGGCCAAACTGTAAGGGATTCTGTTTTATTTGCCTAAGAGACAAAAAGTCAGTCTATATTAGGGAATTTGGGAAGGTGAAATTTGAAGTAAACAAGTATATTGACTTTCTAGTTTTAGGTTATCACTTATTTAGTAGGCATGAAATTATTTTTTAAATCATATCCTGAACTTGTATTTATTCAACAGATATATTTACAAATAACTCAGGTAAATACGTGGCAAAATAATTTTGAAACCTAGCCCTTGCATTTTAGATTTCTAATTATATAATTTTAGCAGTCAAAAGATCTTAGGAATAATAAAATAAAGTAATTGTATAAAGGCATTGGTGAGCACTTGTTTAGGATATAGGATAGAAACGTGGTGGCATACAATTCTAGAATTTACTTTTCTATCTTGTCTCCTGGTTGTGAGCTCTAATTTTAGTGAAACAAATTCATTTCTCAGAATGGCATGTTCTTATTTTTTTGTATTCCATTCACCTTGTATATACTGTTTCTTCCTCTGTAATCTTCCATCCTTTAAAATTCTTTACCCTTGTTTGTCACGTATTTCATTTTCTTCTTTTCATACCATTACTCTCTGCTTTCCTAAAAGACTCCTTATCTCTTAGTATACATTGTGTGAACCTCTAACAGTGCTTAACTCTATTAATTATAACAATAATTAGAGTTACAACAGTAACTAATTTTCATTCTTGTGCTCAGAGCTGTTCAAGCACTGTCACGTATAACCACAGGAAACCTCTGTGAGTAACACTCTTCATTCACGTGAGGTAAATGAGGCATAGTGAGTTTAAGTAAAGTGTTCACAGTTCCACAGATGGAAAGACTTAGAAACCCTAAACTGTCATAACCCAAAGTGCATAATCATAAACACTACTCCATGTTGTAAAAGAAGATAAACAGTTCTGCATCTTTCATTGTACTTTTAGCCCTGGAAATACAGGAATGATGCCATTTCAAAAATGTTTAAAACAAAAGTATCAGATTCAGGGCCTGGCACATAATAGATGAACAATCATTATTGAATTAATAAGTCATGAACAAGTAAGTAAATGTATCAAAAATACATGCTAGAGGGATGACTATAGGGTGATTCTGCAAGGTAGAGGGACTGAAGAAACTCTTATAGAGAAGACGAATATGAACTGAGCATTCAAATATGTATGTGGAAAAAAGAGGGTGCAGGTAAACCCAGCAGATTATTTGCGAGTGTTATAAGAGAATCATGGGAAAATTTTTGGAATCCTGGCAATGCTCAGGGAAAAATCCAGTTTTCCCATTACTATGAGGAATAAGGCAAGTATATTCTTGATTATGAGTATTATTTAGTGTTGTTTTGAAGGTATATGCTAAAGTAATTGGACAAGATGAAGAAATAAAAATTGGAAAGGAAGAGGTAAGATTGTTATTATTTGCTAAGCATGTAATTGTTTACATAGAAAACTAAGGAGAGTAATTTGAAAAACAACAAGGCCAAAATAAAAACCAACAATTTAATTAATATGGCACTATATAATACTAATCTACAGACATAAATTAATTGGCTTTTTATATTCAAACAAAAAGTATTTGGAATATGTAACGGAAGTAAAGCTACCATTTATAATGGCACCAAATATAACAAATATAGCTGTCTATAAAACGGGAAAGATGATTTCAAAGAGAAATTTTAAAAGATCTTGAAGTACACAAAAGGAATCTTGAAGAAAAGCATAGTCAACCATATTCTCTGATAAAAGAATCTGTTTCATAAAGATAATAAATTCCCCCAGTTAATCTAAAAATGTATTTTACTGCAATAAAATATCAATGGTTTTTAAAAAGAATTATACAAATCTAAAAATTTAGTTAATCTAAAAATGTATTGCACTGCAATAAAATATCAGTGGTTTTTTTGAAAGAATTATGACAAATGACTTATAGTACTAATAAGAAAATGAACAAATAAGATAATCCAGGGCATGTTCGAAAGGGAAAAATAACAAGAGGGCACTAGCCCTATCAGATATTAAAATATATAAAGCTGCTGTAATTAAGAAGGGATGCTGTTTTAACAGGTATTAAAATATATTGTAAATCTACAGGTACTAGTGCACATACAGTCAATCAGATTGATGGAACATTTTTAAAAAGCAATAAATCCAAATACAGAGAGAAATTCAATAGGATAGTAAGGGTGACATTTCTAATCAGCGGGCAAAGATACCTTGTCCAGTAAATGGTTTAGGGTATCTTGGTGTTCACTTGGAGAAAAAGTTGTGTCTCCCCTTTTCATGTTTTATACCAAAAGGAATTCCAGAGAGAAGTCAAAATATGAAGCCATGAGAAGCTGTAACAAAGCATGCAAGATTTCTATGGAGAAATCTCAAGTTGGAAAAGATATTTCTAATGATACCATACACTTGAAGAAATGAAGTAAATAATAATTTGAGTATATATAAATGGAACAGAATTCCACTTATAATAACAAAAATTTTTTTAGAAAATAGTGAATAAGCTGAAAACAGTGTGTATGTTCAACAATAGTGTAAAAAAAAGTACATTGTGTGTATGTATTTCTAGAAGAAAACAAAATAAATATGTAGCAATGATTGACTCTGGAAAAATAGATTATTTATGGACTGGGTAGTAATGAAACACACACACATTCTTCTGCAGATTTTGTCTACATTTTATCTTTGCATAAAATTTTTTGTTTTTTGTCTACTTTTTTGTCTACATTTTATCTTTGCATAAGAAATTATGAATAAAACTACTTAGTCATAATAAATAGAAATGTTGACAATGAGTGTGTTGATGGCAGATCTGTGGATGGATGACTTCCATTTATACTTTTTTTGTGTGTGTTTTTAAATAGAAAAACTCTATAATTGTTTCCAAATATCTTTATATCCTCAACTTTATAATTTATGAGCAGTGTATCATATTTCTAAATCTATGTTCTCATTAAAAAATACGGAGATTAGGCCGGGCGCAGCGGCTCACGCCTGTAATCCCAGCACTTTGGGAGGCCGAGCCGAGCGGATCACAAGGTCAGGAGATCGAAACCATCCTGGCTAACACGGTGAAACCCCGTCTGTACTAAAAATACAAAAAATTAGCCGGGCGTGGTGGCGGGCGCCTGTTGTCCCAGCTACTCGGGAGGCTGAGGCAGGAGAATGGCGGGAACCCGGGAGGCCGAGCTTGCAATGAGCTGAGATTGCGCCACTGCACTCCAGCCTGGGCGACAGACCGAGACTCTGTCTCAAAAAAATCAAAAACCAAAAAAACAAAACAAAACAAATAAACAAAAAATACAGAGATTGGCCAGGCGCGGTGACTGACACCTGTAATACTAGCACTATGGGCAGTCCAGGTGGGCGGATCACCTGAGGTCAGGAGTTCCAGACCAGCCTGGCCAACATGATGAAACCCGTCCCTACTAAAATACAAAAATTAGCTGGGTGAGGTGGCAGGTGCCTGTAATCCCAGCTACTTGGGAGGTTGAGGCAGGAGAATCACTTGAACCCAGGAGGCAAAGGGTGCAGTGAGCCGAGATCGTGCCATTGCACTACAGCCTGGGCGACAGAGCAAGACTGTCTCAAAAAACAAAAAAAAAACATATATGTATATATACACACACACACACACGCAGATAGTAACAGGTAGCATGATTTAGTAAACATAACATTGAATAACTGTTTTTCCTGTAAAATGGGGGAATAATATATACCTTGAGGACTAAGGAAAACAATGTTGTTAAGGCACTTAGTAAAGTATACTATTTTTGAATGTCTATGTGTTTCTTTAGATAATATTTAATTTGTTTAGCTTACTGCTCCCCAGAGCCATTTTTGATGTTTAACTGATACCACCTGTGATTGTTTACCCAGTATTGATAGCCTGCAATATGCAGAGCTATTTTAGGAACTGAGGAAATATTAGCAATCATCAGGCATTCTAATAAGTGATACAAGTGGAAGATGTTATGAAAAAACAGAAGAGGAACATCACGAATGTAGGAGTCAGGAGATACTTCTCTTCCCACTTCCTTCCCTGAGGTGTGGACATCTGAGGCTATATCTTAAATCTCGAGTATAACTTAAAGAAAATAATTATTTATACTGGGCATTTGTTGGGATGGGCATTGAGATGTATCTGGAAAGAACCTGGGATTTGAAGTAGCATACATATAGCTAGAGTGAAGAATGTATGCAGAAACATGGTGAGAATTGAGGATTAAAAATTATGGGACCACAGAGAACACTATTTCATGCTAAAGACATTGATTCTCAGCCTTGAATGACTTTTTAAAAACTACTTTGTCAGATTGAACATTAAATAGTCACTCAAGAAGTTTTCAGTTTGGACAAGATGTCATGGACCTGTTTTTCTCTGCTTCTTTCTGCTAAGTACAGCTATAAACTCTGAAAATGATGGAAGAGGCAAATAAAGGAAAATTCTTAAAGATGGTAAGAGGAATGAAAATTGGTTTGAGATCACAGAATACAAATAAGAGCACAGAAGAATGGCATCTCACATCCTCTCACCCAACAAAAGGTTGTGATCCAGGCCTTAATTTTCCTGACTCCAAGCTAGCAACAGAAAACAAGGTAGGCTTATGTCTCCTTTGGAACAATAGGAGTCTTTCTGAAAACACAAGACAATATCCACTGCAGGAAAGCACTCTCCTCCTCTGTAGGATCTGATGCTTCCTTCTACAATGAATAGATATGAGGCAGCTAGGTGGTACTGGCCGGAGGAACCCCACCAGAACAAGTGGCCTCATGCTGGAAGCCATTATGGAAAGAGTATGACATTCCTCAAAACATTAAAAATAGATCTGTCATATGATCCAGTAATCCCTACTTCTGACTGTATATCTGAAGGAAACAAAATTGGCTTCCTTTGAGAGATCTCAAAGAGATATCTGCACGCCGTGTTCATTGCAGCATTCTTCACAATAGCTAATATATGGAAACATTCTATATGTGCACCAATGGATAAACAGATAAAGAATATGTGGTATATATTAATGTAATGAAATACTATTTAGTAATAAAAAAGAAGGAATTCTGCCATTTGCAATCAATTGAGTGAAACTTGAGAACATTATACTAACTGAAATAAGCCAGACAGAAAGACAGCTACTATATGATCTCACTTATTTGTGGAATATAAAAAAGTTGGAGTATTAACAGCTGAGAGTAAACAGTGTTTACCAGCAGATTAGGGGGCTAGGGAAATGAGGAGATATTGATCAAAGGGTATAAACGTTCTAAGATGAATATAAATATTTGGCATTATGTATATAAAATAACATGAGATGAATATGTTCCAGGGATTTAATGTACAGCATGGTGACAGTAGTTAATAATACTGTAATGTATAGTTTAAATTTCCTAAGAAAGTATGTCTTAAGTGTTCTCAACACACGCACACAAACACACACACGCACAATAGTAACTGTGTGATCAACTTGATTATGGTACTCATTTCACAGTGTGTATGTATATCAAATCATCATATTGTACACCTTAAATTAATACAATTACTACTTTTCAATTATACCCCAATACATCTGAAATAAAAAGAAAAATAACTAAATAAAGGTATTAATGACTTCCATTTGATGGTTCTCGTGCTAGGTATTTTTTACAGACTTTTATCATTTTAAGTACTACAAGAACCAACTAGCATGTGGCCTTAGAAATGTTCAAATAGAATTTAGATAACTTCTGATTTTTTTTTCCTAGTGGAACGATTCTATCTCTATTAGAAGTTTTGCCATATTGCAAATGCGGGCTTTTCTCAGTTTCTTTATTCTCCTTCCCAGTGCTCTTTGTGGTGGTGGTGGTTGTGTTTTGTAACTAGAAATAAATTTCTATCTTAATACAAAGCTTTCTTTAATCCCTCAGTGCCATATTACTCTCCTTGTTTCTACCATTTGATTCTTCTAGTCTATCTCATTAACTCTACTAAAAAAGAGTATTTGAGCCTCAAATAGTTTATTTCCTAAGAACAAACAGTTAAGTAATATGCAGACTGAAGACTTCTGGATAAGACTCAAATCTTTACCTAATATATTAAGCTGTATTTATAAAAAGGAAATTACTCTTTAAAAACAATACACATGCTATAAATTGTTTCTTTGGAATAATGGCACACATTCTTCCTATTTATCAAATAGATACATTTCCCAGAAGGAAGTGGGTAATGATATATTATAGTAAAAGAAAGAAAGAAAAGAAGAGAAAAGAAAGAAAAAGAAAGAAAGAAACAGTATTTAATTTTATCAGCATTCCTATTACACAGCTGGCATAGATTTTTAACTTACTTTGTGTTAGGTCTCCTGCTTTATGCAATTTATAATCTTATTTTATTTACTTTTTGTAATCCTATAAAGGCTGTTAAAATCTGTCTGTAAGCATTATGTATATAAAATAAAATGAGTTACCATACCTATTTTCATATCAGAAAATCCATGTTTGGTGGAAGTCAAATAACTTGTTGAGGTTCCCACATACTCCTGCTACATAGGGAAGCTGAGATAGGATGCTCTGTGTTAAGATTCTAAAGACTGACTTCTTCCTCTGTGCCATAGACAGTAGAGAATATGAACAGGTCTATTACTCTTCTTAATCTGTAATTATATATTTTACAACATTATTGACAGAAAAATCACCTTGCTTCTTGGCATTTGTTCAGATGCTGATTTAATGCCACTTATGATGGAATATACAGACTTCTGCACTTGCTGAACAAATTGGAAAGTAAAGGTTTCCAAGGACTTTATGGCTGCCAAAGGGATATTGTAAATTATTGTAAATATAAATTATCCCCTTGCCAGACTACAGAGATTACTTTTATGTTAGAAATAGGCAAATGTGAATTGGCTTATTTGGTGGGCATTAGTGAAAAGTCCATTGTCTTAATTGGCCAACTACAAATCATTATATTTAGAAATTTTTAGCTGTATCATTTGATTCACTTGACATCGTGTATCTTTATAAAAGTATGTAATTAACAAGAACTCTTCTGTAATTATCCTGACAAATTTCCTGGTTTCTTTTAATAAAATTAATAGTTTGCCCAACTTACAGTATATCAAACACACTATATATATCTATTCTGTGTTTAGACATTGTAATGTCTGTGTAGCTATACTGTTTTATAACGTCTAATATTTTAAGTCTTATAACATTTCTTCCATCCCACAGCTTTCCTTTTAAAAACTAATTTTTCATTGGTTATGAATTGGATGAACTAATTATCTTAATGTGATTGCAATATATGTAGTTATTTTAAATCATAAATATTGAAATGATTGTATTTATAACATTTCTTGAAATAGACAACTATATGTATTTTATGTAAAAAATTAAACTCTATAGTTTACAGTGTCTTGAATAACAACTAGTGTTTGGGAATGAGACTATGTTAAACATTTATTAGCTATTTGACATTGGAATATCAGGTTAAAATGTGTAAGCCTCATTTTCTTTATCTACAAAATCAGGATAATAATCCCTACCTCATAGATATGAAGTGAGAATTAAGTGAGGTAATAAATTTAAAATCTTATAGGGAGACAATAAACTTTAGCTACGATCTTTATTTTTGTTGCATTTTAATATTATTAAATCGTTTATGTATCCAATACTGATACCATATAAATTCATGCATTAATCTTGTAACCTTTTTATTTTTAAATATTTTCTGGGACTATTTTAGACGGCAATTTAGATAGTATCTAATCTGCTAGAAAATATCAATGAAGCTGTCTGATATTTACACCATAACTTACTAAGATTCTCTGTATTACAGATTCTGAAAACTCAGGGGATTTAAGAGGGAAATAAAGTGAGCTTGTTGAAATAAATGTATACATAAATAGACCTGCAGAAAACATTCCTATCAATCAAATGTATTTGGAATATTTAAGTATATTATAAAACTACTTTTTGCGGGTCTGGTAAAAATGGTGGTGCCTGCCTCTTTTAACTCAATAGAAAAAGAAATAATTGGAGATGAATTTAATGTTCTTTGGCCTTTTTATCATGCAACCCTTATTTAATTATAGAATTTCAGTGTTATATTACATAACTGTGCAAAATATTACTTAATAATCACTTCTGAGATGGTTTTAAAAAACCATATTATGCATGTTTATCATAGTTCCCCATAGCAGGTATAGGCCACTTATCAAAGGAACTTGCATTTAGTAATTCTGTGCAGTTAGTCTTATTGAGGTCCACTTGATGGCAGTATTGCACTTGGTAAGGTCAGTCTTTTTGCGTGATTTTTTTATACTTGATTTCCCGTGTAATGGTGGAAGTAAACTTTTCAATTAAACCATGAATTATGAGAGACTTATTTTCTGCTAATACCTCAGAGGTTATGATTCAGAAATGTTTTGTGGAGGAACCAAATGGAACATAGTAAAATTGTTACACGTCAGAGGAGAGATACTCTTGGGAAATGAGAAAATCAGGATTTTCCAATTTTTAAAATTCATGACTCTGAAGGATTTTAGCTTTCATCATTTTTAATAGAATTTTCACTTATAGGAAAAGGTAACCAGGAATTGTATTAAAAAAGGAATGTGCATTCATTAGTTAAGAGGTCAAGTAACAAACTTAAAATTTGACAAATCATGGTGTGTACCACAAAAATAATTGACCTCAAACATCAGGATAAATGTTTCTGCTTCTATCCAATTGAAATGATTTAGAAGGTCAATTCTAAAACTATCGTGTCAGCTTCTTTGCTAGCAAGAAGCAGTAAAAGGGCATTTCCTGCTTCTCAGTTTTTAAAGCTTTACTGAAAGCAAATCTCACAAATGATATTCAAAATATTATAGTCAGAAAGAAAAAATAGTTACTCCTGTCCTTATTGTTAAAAGGCCTTATCCCCCAAATTAAATCAATCTTCCATAAAGTCCCTAAAAAAAATATGAAGTCCTTGGGAACTCACTTGGTTTTAAAACCTAATTAATAAAACTTTAGTGAGATAACTTTTAGTTTTTATCTGAAGTGTAACTATAAGGAAAATGATATTATAAAATGATATTTTGACAAAAGATGTTTTAAAAATAGGAGTAAATAATACATCAAATATTCACTTCAATATGGTGATTTTTTTGTTTATCTATTTAAACTTTTGTCTAGTACACATTTATATTACCTCTACTTGAGTGTTAATGATTCAGATTTAAAATGAAGTTACACATTCCATGTAGTCAAAGTGCTTCTGTCTCTAGTCTAGTCAGCTAACTCCACTGACTTTTACATCCTCCACCACCAACTAGCTCTGTATGACTTTGGTCAGATTACTTAATCACATTTTCCTCACTTCAAACCTGATAGTAGTATTGATATTAATTAGTACATGGAAAGTACTTAGAAACAGCAGCGAGTACAAAATAATTCTCAGTAAATGTCAGTTATTTTCTTTATCCAGCACTTGATGATAATTTGTGGACTTATATATTTAAAAGCATATCTTAAATACATTTTATTAGGAGAAAAGATTAAATTGATATTTTATGTGGTCTTGCCAAATTTGTTGTATTTATAATACAAAATATGAGTTATATTATTAAATATGGTATATTTGATGTTTTGTGAAGATTACATTTGGGGGAGAAACAAATATTAAACCTTTGTAACAAAATAAGCTTAGTAAAATGTCAGTATAATTTGAGTTAATAAATTGCAAACAGGCATCAGGGAATTGTCATTTTTGACTCTATTGGTTGGGATGCCAGTTATGAATGCTTAATCACAAACATCAACAAATATTCATTCATTACTTTATAAGGCACTTAAGTCATTGTAGAGCATGCCAGGAATTATAAATGATCATTTCATCCATAAGTTACTCAGAATATAGTTGGAGATATATTGACTAAAATTCATGAAAAGATACTTTTAAAAATGTGATGACAGTAATCTGGTGTCACATGGTATCATGTATCCAACTGCCAAATGAACATCATAAGGCACGATGTGTTACGAATTCAGAGAGAAGATATGACAGGCCTAAATGTTGCTGAAAGAGATTAACAGAAGGGGTGATAGTCTAGTTGAGCCTGAGCAATAAGTTTTGAATAGGAACAACAGAAAGAAAAGACCATCCAGAGAGACTATTGTTAGTCCACAGTACTCAAAAAGGGGAGTAATGTTAATATAGCAATTTAAATAAAAATAGTATATGAGAATGCTTTCAAAATTGTAAGCTAATATAAAAATGAGTTATAACTGTGTACTTTTGGAAACCATTTTTAAATTCAGTAGAGTATACCTCTTTCATTTATTTATTTGCCAAAACTAGTAGTTTACATACTGAGCATATAACCTCTGGAGCATGGCTTTTAGAGTACATAAAATCAGTCCTCTGGGCAGGGCGCGGTGCCTCATGCCTGTAATCCCAGCAGTTTGGGAGGCTGAGGTGGGTGGATCATGAGGTCAGGAGTTCAAGACCAGCCTGGCAAGGATGGTGAAGCCCCATCTCTACTGAAAATACAAAAATTAGCCGGGCGTGATGGTGGGCACCTGTAATCCCAGCTACTTGGGAGGCTAAGGCAGAGAATTGCTTAAAACCAGGAGGTGGAGGTTGCAGTGAGCCGACATGTCACCACTGCACTCCAGCCTGGGCAACAGAGCAAGACTCCATCTCAAAAAAAATAAAAATAAATAAAATAAATAAATCAGTCTTATCTATGGTTTTATGGTAGATAACTTGTAAAAACTTTATATATAGATATGTGTATATATATGTGTATATATATGTGTGTATATATATGTGTATATATATGTGTGTATATATATGTGTGTGTGTATATATATATATATATGTATATAATTTTTTTTTTTTTTGAGACGGAGTCTCACACTGTTGCCCTGGCTGGTGTGTGGGAGCAAGATCTCGGCTTGCTACAACCTCTGCCTCCCAGGTTAAAGCGATTCCCTGCCTCAGCCTCTCGAGCAGCAAGGGTTACAGGTGCCCGCCATCACGCCTGGCTAATTTTTTGTATTTTTAGTAGAGACAGGTTTTCACTATGTTGGCCAGGCTGGTCTCGAACTCCTGACCTCGTGATCCGCCCGCCTCAGCCTCCGAAAGTGCTGGGATTACAGGCGTGAGCCACCGCGCCCGGCCACAATATTCTTATAATAAAAAAACATCCACGGCCAGACGTGGTGGCTCACGCCTGTAATCTCAGCCCTTTGGGAGGCCGAGGCGGGCGGATCACGAGGTCAGGAGATTGATACCATCCTGGCTAACACGGTGAAACCCCGTGTCTACTAAAAATAAAAAAAAAATTAGCCGGGTGTGGTGGTGGGTGCCTGTAGTCCCAGCTACTCGGGAGGCTGCTCGGGAGGCTGAGGCAGGAGAATGGGGAGACTGCTCGGGAGGCTGAGGCAGGAGAATGGTGTGAACCCGGGAGGCAGAGCTTGCAGTGAGCCGAGATCACGCCACTGCACTCCGTCCAGCCTGGACGACAGAGCGAGACTCCGTCTCAAAAAAAAAAAAAAAAAAAAAAAGCTTCCACATGGGATGCGTCCAAGGGAGCTTGGAAACGTAGAAGCTTCGTCGTTCTTTTATGGTCTTTGTCTGGTGAGGTTTAAGAGTCCATTCTGCAGAAAAGAGTTGTTCATGGATGTATTTCTGTCAACATCCATTGGCCTAGCTGATCATGGTCAATATAATGCTTCATGGCCAACATAATGCATATGAATTACCATACGGTTAAAGATCACCATATTTTCAAAGAAAAGATTGTATACCTTCTGATATAAATTAGACATTTCAAGCAGTACTCAACTTTAGTTTATTTTATAGTGCACAACTTTTGTCATAGTATTTTCATTTACTCTGAGACCATAATAAAGATAAATAAAATTGAATGATTTTTATGATATTAATTTACATAATTTACAATGGTACATCCATAGTTCATTCTGTCTAGGTAAAGGCTTTAAAGGACCTGTAGGTGACATTATCTAAACATACTTTGAGTCTAATTTTCTCAAAATGAATCAAATGTTGTTTTCCTAAGAAATGACAATCTATATTTTTTCATTCCCAATGATAGGCACTCTTTAAACATATACGATGGTTTCTATAGTAGTAGAGAAATAGTTTATGATAGTAGCTAAAAAGTTAATTATTAATTTACCTCAGGTTTCAGCAAATAGCAGGTTCTCAATAATTATTAGCAACTATTGTGAGTGGTACAAATCCTACTGCTCTCCATGTTGCTTCTGCTCCACCTCTCCCTCTCTATTTCCATTTGTTTTACAATATCTAACTAAAATAAAATTACAACTTACTTTCTTCTATTTGTCCTTTTTGACTATTTCTCTGGGAATTTTAGATTATGTCCAAATTGGACAAGAAGGCCTATGCCTCAAAATTGACTTAGAAAACACTCTTTTTAAAAAATTTTAAGTTTTATTTTGGGTTCGGGGGTATTTGTGAAAGTTTGTTATATGCATATATTATGTGACACTGAAGTTTAGGGTGCAATTGAGCCTATCACCCAGGTAGTGAGCACAGTACCCAATAGGTAGTTTTTCAGCCCTTGCCCTCCTTTGCCTCTCGTCTAGCAGTCCCCAGTGCCCATTGTTGCAGTCTTTATGTCCACATGTACCCAATGTTTTGCTGCCATTTTTAAGTGATAACATGTGGTATTTGGTTTAGAATGAACAATTAACCAATATTATGGTGGAGCCAAGGGATAATGGGAGACAGTTCTCTGTGAGTCTCTTGTGTTTCTGCAAGTCTTGTAAGCAGAGGCACTGACTATCTTCAACTTCAAACTACCTTTCCAGGCAAGTTTATATAGGAATGTCTGTTTAGAAGATATATACAGTTTCTTTCTTGAGCAAAAAGCAGGTTGTTCACTCTCCACTATAATAATGTGTCCTTCTAGTGCAAAAGTCAGGCAGGCTTACTTTCTACGTTAAAAGATTCTGAGTCTCAAGCTCAGGATTCTTCTCTTGTGTTACCTTAATGAAAATTAGGGCTCAGAGAACCCAAGCAAATACTGACACTCTGGTTATTATTGTTGCCATGAGTAGTAAAGTTCTTTGACTCTCACACAGGGATCTTGTGTCTTATGTCAACATGCATGAAATTATTTCATGAAATTTAAATTTTGGACGATAATACTGTCATGCATGGTAAAATCTCACAACCTTTACAGTTCTTGATAGGGTGTAGGGCAATAGAGAAAGTTTTGGTGAAAAACAATTCAGAATGCCAAAATGACATGCTGAAGGTATTTAATATAAACTTATACAGTTAAAATTACATCCAGAATTTAAGAAAACATTTAGTGTTTTTCATATATCACCACAAATGTAAAAATGATGCTAGTCAAATGGTTTAGAAGCATTAATCAATACATAAATTCTTTCCTTTAGAAAAACCAAAGGCTAGGTGTAATTGAGAATGATCACATATTGATTTCTAGCTCTTATTCAAAATCTCATTTCTTCAGAAAAGGAGAATATTGGAATATTAGAATGGGACCAAATTAGTTAGAAAAGAGTCCTACCCACATGCTGCCTGAATATTTCTTTCCTTTTCCGCTGGCTTCTCCACTTTTCTTGCCCTGATTCTGCAGAGAGGCTACCATAGCCACAGACGTCCCTCTGTGTTTTTGATCCTCAGTCTACTCTTCTTTGATTTGCCAGGAGTTTCTGGTAAAGCAGAAAGGTATCATTCCATGGGCTACATTCTGATTACAATGAACCAGGCTTCCTCCTTTGCAGTTAACAGTATAATATCAATAGTTTCATACAAGGGATGCCTTTCTAAGTTGTGTGAGTACATTTATTTTGTCAATCTGTAGACTTACAGATTTGCTCTTGGATAATTGCAAATTGAGTAAATTTATATTATTATTTAGAGTGAATATGGATCTGGGATATTTATTTATTAAACATTTAATGTTGTACTGACATGAGCTTATCAGTATTAAGTCATTAATCCACACAATAATTCTGTTATCCCTCTTTTACATTATAGAAAGCTTACCTAAGATTATACAGTAAAATATGGCAAAGCTGAGACAAATATGAACAAAGGAACATAGAGTCGAAATAGCTGTGGTTCCTGTTTTCTAATTTTCTACAAATTCTAGATTGCTTCTCTCCTTGTCAATTGCTTATCAAGCACTTGTCATAGTATTTTGTAGTCATTTGATTTTGTTGCCTTCTTAAAATAAATAGTACGCACACTGACACCAAGAATATATTTAATTTTTCTGTTAAATTTGTTTTTCTTTCATTTTTGCATTGCTAATCCTGAAGAGAAAATCATAGACTTTTTGACATATAATAGTTGCCACATAAATTGGTGAATGAATATCACTGTGGCACCTAAAGTACACCAGATCTGTTGGGGGGTTCTCTTTGTTTTATATTTCCTGACTTTAAGTGCACTCATGTGTTTGAGAGTTTTATTCTAAAAAGACTACTTATCCAAATGCAACTTGGCTGCCTACCATGATTTGGCAAATAAAGACTTTCAAGGGCAGAAAGAAAAAAAAAATCTTAAGATTATTTAATAACAGCATGTACCTTCCAAAGAAGCTAAAGAAAATTGTCAAGTGAAACAGAAAACTGTGACATTATTTTATTAAAATATGACCTACAGTTTTAAACTTAACGTATCTTATAATTTTATTTTTCAGTAATTGTATCCATTTCATTTTCCCACTCATTATTAGAGCAGAGCCTTTCTGTAGTGGTCTGATGTTGCCAGGTAGAGTGTGGAAAAATTTTCCTATAGATACATGTTCATTCTGCAAAAAGATGGGATTATATTCTGTAATGTAAAGTGAATATTTATGCTTTTGTGGTATCCCATAAAAAATGTTTGGGAACAACTTTGCCTTTTTAGCTTTTGAAAATGAGCATTTTTTTATGTGAAAGTTTGCTTTATTGTTGGAAAGCAAGAGCAAGAAAAAAAAGTAGGAAATGATTTTGCTTTAGTAAATTGGGTTTACCAAGTCTTTCTTCTTCTCTTGAAACATAGTGGGAGGAGAGAGCTTTATATTCAAGCTAAAAATAATCTTTGGGTAACACCTACATTTTTACCCTGAAATAGACAATAAAATACATTCCCAGGGACTGACCATAAAGGGGTGTGGGGAGTAGAATACTTGAGCCTTTTCAAATTGTCTGTCTCTCTCCCCCAAGTTCAGGAAACCATCTGTCTCCCTCTACTCACATTTTTCCCACTAACTGAATCCTCTTTATTCCAAGGATTAAGTTCAGTGTCTTTAAATAGAAAAATGTGGAGATTTTATGAATTGCCAAATGAAAATGAAAGGTTCGGAATCACTAAAATTGATGGTGTTCTGATTTTAGAAGTTAGAAGAAAATTGCAATTAAAAATATGATATTCAACTTATTCATTGGTGAAAATATAAGCTATGGAATAAAATGTAAAGCCAAATATATATTTATCAAAAATCTGCTTAAACATTGTATAGAGTTTATATAATAAAAAGCATTAAAGTAGTTTGATATTTAAAAATATGTAGTCAGTTCTACTTTAAATTGCATTTTTATTACTATGTACTCAGCCCTAATTCACAAGTTGGGGAATATTAATGTTTTGTGCCTACCAGATTGATTGCTGTAAAGAAGACAGTTAGTGTGATGATGTAGATATTAAACAAAGTAAAAGGCAGTTAATGCCTGAAAATGGGAAGTTCTTAAATGTGGAGCTCACACTGAAAAGAAAAACATAAAAGAGAATCTTATAGGTCAAAATAAAATTTTGAAAATATGAAACAAAAAATTATAAACTAACCTATTTTTTTTTCATTAATCCATACAATGACTGAACATTTTACAGCAGTATTTCATGGTGTGATAAAGAACCTAATGATAGCTATTTTTAAGAAACACCATCAGTATGGAACTTTGAAGGCCTAAACTCAGGACAAAATATATGAGATGTTGACAGCCTATGGCAGATTTTTAATTGATATTGCAATCAGTGAAATTAGTAGTATTGCATATATTTTTGAGGGGAAAAAGATAAAAGGAAATTATTTTTGAGTTTGAAGTTTAGTGTGTGCTTTAGCCTACAGCTAGTATTCACAGAAGATTTTCACAGTCTCAGTTGTGTTTAATGTGAAAAATTTAAAGCATAATACATAAGGTTAATACAGAATTCAATGAGCAACATAAATTTTATATTTTTATAACATCCCATTTGGCTGTCCCAATTCATGTTGATGTGTGTGTATTCTAATACCATATTTACATATGTATATAAATATATATGTGCATATATACATATACACATATATACATACATTTCTAATATGTTCCTTCTATTTCCTTCTCAATTTCTACTTGAACTAATCAAAATATGCAGACTTTAAAGATCATAATTTAAGGAATTCGTGATAATTTTTAAACAATTGTATGTACATAGGATGATTTTAAAATTCATGTGTGCCTGTCAGTTAATTCACTGCTTTGTAGGCTCCTATTTGATGCTCAAAATTAATAGGTAAACACTGGATATGCAAAGGGTTATTGGACAAGACAATCCTTTGAATACTTACTATTTTGAAATACTTGAAGAATCAGAAAACCATAAATATATAAGCAACTGTTGAACTGTGAATAAAGTCTGAGTGAGTTAAGAGAAGGAAGGTGATTTCGTCTTTTAAACCATGTTTAAAGTAAATACATATTTAAATATTCCTGCTTGATAATCATAATCGATAAGTGAGCAAACATTTGTTTTTGCAATGGGCAAAGACCTTGCTATCAATTATACATGTGAGATTATCTTTGTTTTAGTTTTCCTTCTAGCATATTATTGTAAAATTAATAGTATATAGAATAACAGTTTCTTGCATACTACAGCATTTTTGTCTGATTTTTTTTCGTAGTAGCCATAGCCAAATATTACATTTCAATGCCAAAAAAACATGAAGCTCAATATTTCTATAACAGGCGTAATCAAAGTATGATTGAAACCTTGGTTACCAGTAAAGCTGTTCAGTATTCATAGCCATGGTAACAGTAAGATTTAAAATAATAGCAATAGCATATCTATCATGACATTATATTCATGTTATTCTTATTAGTCATTGCATTTATAAAATTATAATTATGTTTCCAAATAAATATCTTAGCAAATACTACTTTCTATTCAGGTTCATTTATAACAGCTGAAGACAAAGATGTTAGTATCTTAATCACTTTGGAATCAATATCATTGTGTGTGTATTTTCTCTTTTTCTTCTAACAGAGAACTGGGTTTAACTTTTTAAATTGTAAATTAACAATTCATAAGTGTATAAATTTATGGGGTACAAAGTGATGTTATAATTTATGAATACAGTGTGGAATAATTAAGCCAGTTAATATATCCATCACCTCAAATACTTAACATTTATTATGGTGAGAACATTTGAAATTTAGATTTTGAAATGTGCATACTCTATTATTAACTATATTCACCAGGCTGTGCAATAGAACTCAAAAGGGAAAAAAAATCCCACATTTCTGAGATTTTGTACCCTTTGACCATCATCTCATTCTCCCCACCTCCAGCCTCTGTAACCCATTGTGTATTTTAAACACAACATTTGAGGTAAGTGTTTAATTATTTGGGTTTTTAGTATACCCAGTGAAAACTGGATTTAAGGGACACAGTTCAGGAGATTTCATTAATTTTGTATGGAATAGTTGAACTAACTAAATAAATAAGTGGATATTCTTAGAAACCATGTGTAGAGTAGGAGTCTTTTGTGATGGCCAAATAAAGAGAGATCATAGAATTCCCTTAGTACGAAATTTAATAAAAGGTATGTATAACTTAACAAAATCAAAACAAACAAAATATTTTTTAACCTGTTTGCATACAATACCATGTCTCTAAAATGAAGCATATAGGGGTAGATAAGCAATCACTGTGGAAAGCCAATGAAAATTTACATGCGCTCATTGGAATGATTACATGGTATTGAGAGAATTGTCAGCATTAATAAAACCAAAGAGAGATATAAAATGAAGAATTGTGATAACTAACACTACTAAAGCAAAAAGACAAGAGACGGTAACAAAGAGTGGAACAAACAAACATTTAAAAATGCATTCTGGAAGCAATGACAAATATTCTGTTCTGGAAAAAAACAACTACAAACAGAAGAAAATTCCCTACAAAAAGTGCTATGCATTTTAGGGTAGCGAATGAGCATGAAGGCTTTATAAGCCGGGGATCCCTTATGATCTTGTACAATAACTTAAAGTTTCTGTGTTTAGTGTCCTCATATATAATATGAGGTAACATGAAATAATAATAATAACATTTTCCTCCAGAATTTGTATGTAATTAGTAGTGGTATCATATGGAAAACAGTGCTTGGCAAATAGTGCTTGTGTTTTAGCTAGCCATATTTTGTCTTTAGACAAACTTAAAAGAAAAAAAGAATTTAAAAATAAGTAAAGGAAGAAAGAATTTAGAAATAAGGCCACAAAGACAAAAGAATATATGCACAAAAGAAAGCAGAATTTGTACAGCTAAGAATATAAAATGAGGAAAAAAATGAAACAGAAAGACCTTTGCAAGAATAAGTAATTAAATATAAGAACAAACATGAAAATTATGACTGAAAACGGAGTTGGTGACAGAGGTGAAAGGTTCCAGAAAACAGTCCGGTTGAATGCAGAGGGAAGTACCAGCAATTAAAACATGTAAAAAGGACAAACTAGATGGACAGAGTTTTCCAAATGAGCATGCTTGGGGTCCCTGAAATAAAGAAGTTAACACATTTGAGCAGAAAATAATCCTCAACTATTTACTAATATAGAAAATTACTGAAAAAAAGAAAAATATATGGATTAAAAGAGTTTTACAGTATTTTAGGGAATTTGATGCAAAATGTTTAACAGGCCTTTCCTGTTAGGTTCTGAAATTCAATAATAAATAATCATAAAAACTTTAGGCATTAAACTCAAATGCCCCTCAGAAAAAATTATGAAGTTTCTCAGACTTCTACAAAAGAACACTCCAATGCTATAAATTAATAAATTAACAGATAGGAAGTTCTGATGAACAGAAAGTGTGATCTGAGAGTTTATAAATACCTGGTTGTCATTCAAATAAAGACAAGCTGTTAAACAGGCAGAAACTCAGGCAAGGTGACTCCCTCCCATGGACCCATGAGCACTTATGAGAAAAACCAAAAACAAATGAAATTTTGTCAACCATGATATGAATGAATAAGTTTTTGCTTAAAAAAAGGGAATGCGGCTTGGCATGGTGGCTCATGCCTGTAATCCCAATACTTTTGGAGACCAGGGCAGGAGGATCACTTGAGGCCAGGGATTCAAGACCAGCCTGGTCAAGGGAACAAGACCTTGTCTCCACAAAAGAAAAAAATACCTGGGCATTGTGGTGTGCACCTGTAGTCTTAGCTCCTGGGGTGGCTGACGCAGGAGGATCACTTGAGCCAGGAGTTTGAGGCTGAAGTGAGCCATGATGGCACTACTGCACTTCAGCCTGGGTGACAGAGTGATACTCTGTCTCAAAACAAAAACAAAGTCTTTACTCAAATGTCATCTCTCAATTAGGCCATTCCTGATCATCATATATGAAATTGAAACTTGTCTACCTCGCCTTCCTTATCTCTGTTTTATTTTTATCCATAGCATCATATAAATACGCACACACACACACACACTACTAAAAAAATTTAAATGACAACCAAAAAGTCTTTTCCATATAGATCAAATAAAAATAAAATGAAAAATTTTAATTTGTATCAATCATTATTAGAAGCAAAACTTATGGATGTTGCTGTCTGTGTCAGAAAGAAATACAAACCCTTAACCATTTATTCCACTAATCAATAAAATAAAAATTAATTAAGCTCTAAAATAAATTAGAAAACCTATACAATGAAACAATTGAATGCCAAAGAAATAAATTTTAAAAATTATACCTGCAGAAATTTTAAAATCAGTAAATAATATCTGTGGAATTAATAAATAAAGCCAAAAGCTATTTAGTAAAACCACTGGTCTGGCTAATTAATTGGAAAACAGGAAGGAAGGAGAGGAGGAGGAAAAGGAGAAGGACAAAGATTAGGATGAGGAGGAAGAAAGAAGAAGAAAGAAAGGGGGAGGAAAAGGAGAAGGACAAAGATGAGGATGAGGAGGAAGAAAGAAGAAGAAGAAAGAAAGGAGGAGGAAAAGAAGAAGGACAAAGATGAGGATGAGGAGGAAGAAAGAAGAAGAAGAAAGAAAAGAGGAGGAAAAGGAAAAGAAGGAAGAGGAGAGAAAAGGGAAAGAAAGGGAAGAAAAAGAACATGTAAGTGGGAGCACAGAGGTATAAAAAAAGAGAATTGAAGAAGATATAGGGAGATTGAGAGTAAAATAAAAGAACATTAGAATACATGATATATTTATTTACAAGTATATTTGAGAAGTTAGATGAAGTAATAATTTTCTTGGAAACCTTTAACTAACAGAATTCAACAATATATCAAAAATGCAGTTCACTCCAGAAATGTGAGGTGGGTTTATTAATTGGGAGTGTACTAATATAAATGTATCTATTAAGACATCACAGGAGAAAACTACATGATCTTACAGATCTTAGATAAAAATTGTTAACATTACTTAAGGCTCTGAAAGTTTTGTCCTCCACCTACCCCTCCAGTTCTAACTTATATTACACTCTAAGAAATATTTTGCTGCTGTTTCTTTGAGATACTGGGAAGTGATAAATGTGTTGCATTTTCTTAGCAGCACTTTTAAACTTAATATTACTTGACAATTAACTGGTATAATGAAAACTTTTCAGTTTATTAGATGAAAATAAAATTCAAAGAATATAATAGTATTGTCTTTTATGTCGTTAATTTTTGTTTTATTTAATACTAGGAGTTTTACCTAACAATTATTTTTAAAACCTTACTCAAAGAAGCACAGCAAATGTTTGTCTTCTTGTTTTGTTTTTGTTTACTTTTCCAAAAAAGCCAAATGAAACTGTATACAAGGAAACATGTTGGTTATTAGGTGTCATGCCATCTGGCACTGACATCTGCCACCACATTGACCCCAGGTTATTTTGGCTGCTTTGCCTGGCAAGGAGGGCACCTGCCTCTTACTTCACAGCTCCATGCTGGGCATTCCACGTCTGCAGTTTCCGTGAAGATGTCAATCTTCCCACATAGAGGAGTATGTTTTAAAATTAAGGTTATAGGAAAAAGAAGGTAGCTTTCTAGAACTTCTAAGTATGCTATGGAGTCCATAAAAAGTATGCTGATTTTCACTTATTTCTAGAAAATTAAGTATAAATGGTAGGTTGGATTTTCACTTTCAACTACTGAAGCCTTAAGAAGAGGTTATATTGTAATCTTGAATTTAAAATAAATGGATTCACATGTTTCATATGCTTTTGGTCATCTACATTTCTCCATTTTAATAGTAAAATTAAACATTATTCATAATTTACCTTGTTTTGTATGTCTTCTTTGGGAGACTTGCTTATAAAAATCACATCACAAGGTTTGCAAGGTTTGTGTTTCCTTTTCCAGCCTATTACACATATTCTTTTAAGAAAGCTCATTTTAAATGAGCCCTTTCAAGAATAAAAGCTTTTTAGATTATTTTTTGTATGAAATATATTCAAAAGTTACACCTCATGCACCTAGCATTTTAAACCATGGTTCCAAAGGATTCTGCAGATTTAAAGGTCCTACCGTTTTTTATTGTTATTTTTATTACTTATTTTCTTTTTCCTTTGAAGTATTTAAAGTTACAGAAGGTGGAATATTTAACTTTGGCCATGAATTATTCATATTTGTTTAGAATTAACATTGGCTTAAATGGCTTAACATTTTTCTTTAGTTAGTGATTCTTAGATTTTCTAATGCAGCTCATAAGGCTACATTTCTCAGCTGGGTACAAAACTTGATGAATTAGCAGCTACAAGCTATCACAGGAAACAAACCCAGACCTTGCCTATAAATAACTGTCTAGTTTTAATCTGATTTTCTTGCATCATATAAGGTACAGCTGCATATAGGTTTATATGTTGTGTGTTCATATCTACTTTTGAGTAGATAGTGGAAGCAAATGAATCCAATAAATCTCCTTAAAATATTTCTGCTTCAAGAAATTCAGTATCCTTCCAGAAAATAATTGCTATTTTGTCTTTTTTTTAAAATAACAAATTGTGAAGTATATAGATAATATATTCTTCAGGAAGTAATTCTTTTGATTCTATATTTTATAATTACACTAGCATCTATAATTGAATAATTGAATAAAATTTGTTTACAAATATATTGCTATGCCTTAAGATATGACATATTTTGCACATTTTACATAACTTGAAATTGTGAGATAACATCATTATTCAAAATATGAGTGGGAGTTTATACATAATGAAAATAAATAATAACCAACTCCCTTAAGACTAGTAATAAGCCAAAGAAAAAAAACAGTTATGAAAAAGGTTAACTTAAAGGCACCATGGAAACAAAAATACTGTTGTTTTTATAATCAACATCATAATTAGGAATAATTTGGAACTACAAGAGGTCCTAGCCATCATTTAGTTCAATTTGTTTTTATTGTGGACAAACAGACTTGGTTAATAGCACCATAAACTAAAAACAGTGTTAGGATCAGGGTCATATCACAGGTCAAATGATAATAAGAATTTCCTTGCTAATAATAGTTTGATGAGAGCCATGGGAAAAACTGTCCTTAGGAGACTGCCTGTGTCAATCTATTATAAACAAATGTGGGTGGCCTCAAAAATATGAATGTGAATGTAATTAATTTAGAACACTAATGAATAAACTGTGTACACTAACCTATATATATGTTAAAGAGAAAATATGAAAATAAATTACAAAGATCAATCTAAGAATGTGTTCACATATTAACCCATACCTGTGGTCTCTGAAAGTTGACGACTTGTTCAACTACTGATCAAAAATCGTTTGGAACTCTGTGGATATGCTTGTTTTTTTCAATTGCTGTATACCTCCATAGAGTACAAAAGACTGGGGGACCTAGTTTCTGCCATCAGGGAGCTCAAATTCCTCCTGGGAAAAAATGATGCTGAAATCTAAAATAAAAACATAACACTCTGTGGCTTATATGGCCACATAACTCTGTGGTCTAATCTAAATAATTTGTTCAATAAAAGTTTAAAAATGGTAACTCACTTTGAATGGACCAATAAGAGAAAGTTTAAAATTTGAGTAGCAATGAAATAGTGGGTAATGGGAGAAGAAAGCAATATTGTGAGAAGGATAATGTAAGTGAAGGACAGAAGGGGAAATATCTGAGTGATATTGGAGCATGGTGTGAGAGATGTTTAGTAGATCATTTTTAAAAGCTAGATTAGGGGGCTGGGCGCTCAGGCCTGTAATCCCAGCATTTTGGGAGGCCGAGGCAGGCAGATCACTTGAGGTTAGAAGTTCGAGACCACCCTGGCCAACATGGTGAAACTCCATCTCTACTAAAAATCCAAAATTTAGCCGGGCCTGGTGGCAGGCACCTGTAATCCTAGCTACTCAGGAGGCTGAGGCAGGAGAATCGCTTGAACCTGGGAGATGGAGTTTGCAGTGAGCTGAGATTGTGCCACTGCACTCCAGCCTGGGCAACAGAATGAAAACCCATCTGAAAAAACGTATAAAAAAAAAAGCTAGATTAGGGTTATACTTTTGGGGTTTTGAAATGCCATGTCAATAGCCTGGGAATCAATCTCTCATTTTATTATAAGTGATTATGATTTTTTTCAGAAGAGAAATGATATAAGTCTGATGCTTAAAGATATTTATCTTTAGTATGTGGAGCACACTAAAGAAATAAAAGGATAAAGGAGATGCAAACTGTTGCATTAGCCATGGTATAAGATATTAAGGACCCCAACTTTATTAAGTCACACTACTATTCAAGCATCCAACCATCCATCTGTCCATTCAACACTTATCTGTTGAGAGTTGACTGATTTTTAGGTAGTATGCTGGAGCAAAACAGGACTCAAACAGATATCTCATCCTCAATTTACCTTGAGTTTACAGATGTATAGGGAGTGTATGTGTGTGTGCTTGTATGTTTATGGATGGTATGTAATGAAGTGACGAGACATATAAAGTGAAAATTATCATATATATTGCTCTAAGTGATATGATAGGGTTATATTTGGGCGTAAAGACCCATAACCACCATGATGAGGAAGATTTTCTAGAAATAATGCTTTATGGACTAAAAAATCACCTTGATTTACAGAAATATTGGAAGCAGTGGGATTAGTATGTGGAAAATATAGCACTGGAGAGTATTAAAGACTTGCCAAACTTAATATGGTGCAATATGGTTGGAATAAAGTTCATAGTGAAATAATAAGTCATGAAACTGGAAACAGTTGCACTCCTTGAAAGTACAGTTAAACAATACTCTTCTATCAGAAACATCACTCCATTATTTTTCATTTTAATTAGGTCATTTATTTAGTGATCAATTGCTTTAAGACATGTAGTTAGGTCTATATTTAAAAAGTGTGAAAAAATGATACAACTGATGCATAATTTTGGGGGAACATTCTAGGTCTTTCATGGGAGACAATTCTTCATGGGTCTCCAGCATTTTTTCATGTGTTGTGAGTAAACTTGCTGTTTTTGTTATGGACCGTCTTTTCAAGGATATTTTTACAAGGAAAGCTATAGAAGATATAGTGCCTCCCCTTGGAACAAAGGACAAGTATGTTTACTACCCATGGTAAAATATTTGAGTTTATAAACTCATGGTTCTTCTCCTGTAATGCAAACCACTGCATGTACAGATGTCCCCCTTTGCATTCCCCTGGGGGAGCTAGGGCACTGAATTGGCAAAGAAAATGCCGATACTCTAGATACTGCTATAGTTGTGACTAATAAAGTCCTTTTCCTTCTGACCCAGGAGTCTTGTGGCTTTTGCCAACATCCACGAAACTGTAGCAGGCTAACTTATTAGCTTGCAAGTAAGGTAAAATCTTAGACCCTTCATAGTTCCTGACAGTTTTGGCTATGAGGATGTGAAAATAAAAAATGTTTTATTTCTAGAATAGGATCGATGAGACGCTTGTGGGTCAATTAACAGAATTTGAAGAAAGTGTATAAGAATTGGCAGTAAACATGTTGATCACATTAATGGTCAACCAAGCAATAAATTATCCTTCACTTCATTGCTCTTTAATAAGGAGAAATTGGAAAGTTATTAGCAGATAGAATACTGGAAAGCGTGCATAAAGAGAGCTGCTTGAACAGTGCTGGACTTGTTGCAAATTCGCCTCCTTTTTTGGGAGGGGGGATTTCCTTGACAATCAATTCAACTGATGGGATTCAGGCAAGGTTTGCAGTGGAGCAAGGAATCTAAAATAATCTTGTGAGTGAGGCCCTTTGGGAAAATTCTATGTATTGTTTTGGTTGCTGTCATT
The DNA here is from genome assembly GCF_000001405.40 of Homo sapiens. NCBI lineage: Eukaryota > Metazoa > Chordata > Mammalia > Primates > Hominidae > Homo > Homo sapiens. The sequence goes on from NC_000004.12 coordinate 90,374,545, forward strand.
CTGAATATATATTAGAAATTTGATGCATTATATGCTCATACTTCCCTGTCCCATATGTGTCAGGTAAAAACTACTGATGAGGAATTACACAAAGCATTGTCCTCACCCACTCATGGTACATTGACATCATTGGACAATTGACCTCCTCTCAGGGCACTTAGTAGTACCTCACTGCTGATGGTATTTTTTCAGATTACAATGCTATTCCAGTTAAATCAGCTGACTTTGGCCATACCTTTATGGACCTTGCAACTAATCATTGTCATGTACTTTAATTTTCAGACTTTTGCAGTCTGATATTAGTGCTTCTTTTATTACCAAAAAAACCCCAATAATTAATGGGCTGATAGTTAAAGTATATCCAGTGGAACTTCCACACTCCCTACCATCCACGATTATCTGTTGTTTTTGAGCTTTGGAATGGGCTCCTAAATAATCAACTCAAAAATAATTCTCACTCTACTCCCTTCACTTCCTCCTGGTCAATAAACCTAGAAAGAAGATTGGCCATGAAGTGCAGCTGTCAACAGAAAAGGATCTTAGTTTGGCAGCCTCACTTTGGCCTGGTTTATCTACCCTCTGAGTAGTATCTCAGCCAAAATGGGGACTCAAAACTTAATTCTAGTTCATCCAACTGGATTCTTTTGTTAGACTGACATGCTTCTAGATTGGTTATGTTGCTCACTAGGTCCTCCTGGAATAGTCCACATGAACCAAAATGGGCGGTACATCGGGTCTGTGTTGGATTTAATAAAATGTCTTTGCCCTTTCTCACTCATTCCTTCCAGATGACAGAGCTAGGCATGAGTTGGGGATGACTGGAAAAAAAGTAAAATATAGCTACTAGAATGGGACACATGGGTTTTGTGTTAGTAGAAGGAGAGTAACTGCAGAACCTGGAGAGAGAACAACTTAGACCCTGACAGGTACAGAGGAGGAAGGGCCATCCGTGATCCTTCTCTTCAGAACCACTCCTAGATCCTTCCTCGTAGAGCAAAAGACCCTGCTGTGGCTCTCTTAAACTACTGAAATATCCCTAAACTTAACTGAATGCTGGGTCCTCTGTGCCCCACCACATAACTCTAACCATGATTTGATAATCATTTCCCTTAATTGTAGTGAGAAATCTGTTGGATGCAGCTGGAATTGCCCCAGATTTTCCACCTCCCATGCAAAACATTGCCAAACCTCTGGATGTCCTCCACATGCTGATTTCAGTAGCTGTCTCCAGTCATTTTGTAGAGCAGACACATACCATTTGCTGGCTGGCATGGACATAAATGCAAGTTGGACTGATTAACCTGAGGCAGTCCCTCCAAAAACTAGGACTAGATTCAAGTATTCAAATTTAACCGGAGACTGTAAGGCTTCCTGGCCAGCTGGGAGGCCATGTTGGAGGCACTGCCAGCTTGACCTCCACATGGGGAGGAAAAACAGTTGTAAAAACACTTGTTCTAGGGGCACTATGTGTGGCCCTGGGACTGTACATTTTGTGTAGATGCCAGGAATTAACTTGCCTCTCTTCTGAAAACACAGTCATATGCATTATAGGGTGATCACAATTGACCTTCAAGTGTTTAAGGAAAACATCACCAGTAGATTATATAATCTTCAGATGACTGCAGAGATCTCTTCAAAATTAGGCTGCCTGTGGTTACTCAGGGGATCTTCTTGGAAGAGTGTTTCATTATTATTGCACACCCTATGTGAAGTTATCTCTAAAATGGGATTCACTAATCTGAAAAGGCAGTACAACATTTCTCCTTGTCTTCAGCTAAAGTAATCAGTGACATAGCTTTGGCTCTTGAAGGCATTCAGTCTCAGCCTCAATTAACTGGACATGGCAGACATAGAAGATAGATTTGCCCTAGACTTTCTCCTTACTTCCAAAGCTGAGCCTGTGTGATTTCTAATACATCTTTCTGTACACCTGGATTAATGCCTTGGATCAAGTGGAAAGGTCAATAAAGAAAGCCATTTGGCTTTTTAAGGTAGTCCCTGATGGGTTGTAGGATTTGTCCAGTTGTCTGTGTCTGGAACCCTGGGGCACATGGTTGAGATCATTTCTACAAGTCAGTCTCTTATTGCTGCTCACAGTCCTGTGTAACTTTAATTAAATGCTTTATGGGATAAATTGAATGGATATGGTCCCAGCCTCTGTCAGATTAATCAGAGTGGCTGACAGGTGATGCAGTCATGGGAAAATTCTCCAAAAGTTAAGACACTGTAGAAGGAGTTTGATGTTAAAGACACAATTCTCCATGGATCTCTCATACTTCACTTCTTGCAAGCAGAGGCACTCACATAATATTTTTAAGGATATTTGTACAGTGAACAGACTTTGAAGGTAGAGATAATGTCTCCTTCCAGAATGAACAGCAGGTATGGTTACTGCCAGTCATCAAAGGTTTGCGTTTCACCTGCACCACACATACAGTGCTTGTCTCCTGTAACACAACCCAGAGCATGTGCAAGTATCATCTAGTTCTTCGTGTTTACCTGTGAAAATGGCACTCAGGGAACAGGCACCTAAAAATGCTGTCACTCTGGTTATTGCTATTGATCTAGAAAAGTTCTTTGTGTCTGTACCAGGATTTTTATGTTTTCTTCTAGCATGCACAAAATCATGGTGGACTAATAGCTTACAGATGGGATAAAATTTCAGACACTGCACACACATTCTTCACAGACACATTATTTTTGAAGTTATAAAATAATATTAATGTGTTGTTAAAGCTAATTTTCAGAGAGGGGATTCTATTCCACCAACATTTATGACTAGGTAATAAAATCTCATTTTTACTGAAATTTAGCTCCATAAAATGCATTCTATTTAAAATCTGAACATGTGCCAAACTATCATCAATACTGTATAACACCAGTATAATTAGGTAGAAGTACTGGATAAACTGTATGTAATATGTGCAGCAGAATCCTAAATCATTCTAATGGAAAACAGATTATGCCAGCAACATGTAAATACAAAGAACAGTGGTCTCCAAGGAAAATATCAGTAGCACATCAAAATCTATTAATTTGTTGAAGAAATAGTATCTAAGAGATTCAATTAAACAAAATAACCAGAGAATACATGCCTTATTTTTGGAAACGTAAATATTACTAAAATTGTATTAATTAGCAATCTCATGAATATTATGTTTTACTAAGATGTAGGAAACCCCATGTAACTCAATGTAATATTTCATAATAGATCTGATTATAACTGAGATGAGCATTTTTACAGGGATTAACAAAACATAATTGGAAATAAATGATAATTAGATAAATTAACTGTGGGTGGAAAATTTTCATAGAAAATAATTGTCATTCATTTAAAAAATGTGTTTTTATTATGAAGATGGGGCAAATTATAGAAATAGTGTCATTGTCTTTTGTTGTTACCATTTTAAAATTTCATCTCTAATTCTCCTAGTCATTTAGTTTTTATTTCTTCCCTGTCCACAAATTATATTAAGCATTTGTTCATTCATTAATTCATTGCCTTATTCATTTGGCAAGTATTTATGGAACATGTATTATTTATTGAACAATGCTTTTCAGCTCTTTATGGCATTGTTTAGAATTTAATAATTTCAAGATAATCCTAGGTCTGCTATCACTGAACCTACCTCTGCCTTCAGTAATCTCAGTGCTTGTAAATGAAACAGCTATTTTTAGCTCTGATAGAACTAAAATCTATACCTGTCTTGGAAACTGCAATAATTAATAACCTGTACTTGTAAAATACTTTATAGTTTTCTGTCAGAATTTTATGTTAACAACAAATGTGAGCTAGAAAAGCAGAACCGATTGTTTCTATTGCACAGAGAAAGAGCTTAAGTCTTTAAGAGGGTAAGTGACCCAAGGCTAGGTTGCAGAGTCAAAATTAGAATTTCATTTCATAATAAATTGTATGTCCTTTCACTATGCTGTACTTATACTGGCAAATGATAGAGTGGGTTCAGAGATTTCTAATTGCATTGTGAAGTTAATCCTTATATCCTTAGTGGCTTTTGGAAATTACAGTTTAAGACTGGATCTGACTGAACCAGCATTGAGGACATAAGCTTATTTTACTGGCAACTCTGTGATATGTCAAATATGCCTAAGACAATGTATTTGATTTTGAAGTTGAGAATTGCATAAGTAAATCAAGAAATCGTTTAGTGTTATAAATTGGCACCTGGTTTCTGACATAGTTGTTTAGGTTATTATTTTTAGCAAAATAGTACATTATAAATGTGCAGATACCCTAGATTGTTTTACAATTGAGACATGAATTCTTCTCCCATATGAGTTTATATTATTAATGTCTCTCTACAGAGAATAGTACTTTATCCCCTAATTTAAATATATAGTAACTCAGTTCTTGCCACATCCCATTGTTCATGGATGTGAACAGGAACACACATCTACCTAGTCTCTTCTAGAAAAATAATTATCAGGAAATAACAGAACTTAAAGACAGGATTAGAATAGAGAGCATATCAGATAAGAGCGAAAACAGAGTGAAAATTTATTATAATCGACTGAGCTATATAATGCCAAGAAATAAACCATGAAAAATTTCTGTAGTTTAACAGCAACACAGATTTATTTCTTGCTCACACAAAGTTTCAGTTGGGTCCGGCAGCTCTTCAGGACTGCTCTCTTCTATATTGTGACTCAGAGAGCCAAGCTTTCCCTATTTTGTACTCCCATCATTTTAATGTGTGGATTTCCTGAGCTATCTGGACAGGGGAAGACAGTATTAAAGGTTTATACGGGATGTTTTTAAGGTCAAAACCTGGCCACATGGCTCTAACATAACTCCAAAGGAGGCTGTAATATAGAGGTTAATGCCATCTATAGGACATAGTTGAGGCTCTGAGGTTAAGCAACAAAAATAAATTTTCCCTCGCGTCAGATAACAATGTGAGGCACACTTTCAGGAACTTGTCAAGGAGCTTGGGGATCAGTGATTGCAATGCTTTCCCACATGATTAATGGTGATATAGAAGATAGAATATTTTGATTATAGGGGAAGGAAAAAATGGTATATCAGAGGAGCCATTATCCCAGTAGAGTGAGGCAGGATTGGTGATGATAGAGTTAAGGTGTTATGACTGAAATCTATAAAATAAAGAAATGGCAATTTAACTTCTACAGACACTGGGATATATATGATATGGTATAAGAAATGGGAGATTGTGTTAGTCTGTTCTCACATTGCTCTAAAGAAATATCCGAGACTGGGTAATTTATAAGCAAAAGATATTTAATTGACTCATGGTTCTGCAGGCTGTACAGGAAGCATAGTGGATTTGGCTTCTGGGGAGGCCTCAGGAAGCTTCCAACCATGGCAGAAGGCAAAGGGGGAACAAGATGTCTCACATGGCAGGAGCAGGGGCAAGAGGAAGAGAAGGGGGAATTGCTACACTCTTTTAAACAACCAGATCTCAGGAGAACTCACTCACTTTCCTAAGGATGGTACCAAGAGGGATGGTGCTAAACTATTCATGAGAAAGCCAACCCTCATGATATAATTACCTCCTATCAGACCCTACCTCCAGCATTTGGGATTACGATTCAACATGAGATTTGAGCAGGGACACAGATCAAAGCTATATTAAAGATCTTCTCAGGGTTATAATAAAAGCACTAGTAGTTGTGATAAGCATTGTGAACGTCTCAGAAAAGTGGTTAACAAAAATAAGTGATACTTTAGAGGACAGATGTATGATGTGGCTAAAGTGAGAAAGCAATAAAATGAATTCCTCTCTCTTTATAAAAATACATATAAATTAAATAAATCTTCAGGTTCTAATTTTGATAAATCCTAAAAAGTAATATTTTAGTTACTTAATTATTAAGTAGTTAATGATTTTTAACTATGTTCAAAGCGTTTGATATGATATCATTATTGGTGTCTTCATATACTTTTCCATTCACTTTTGATTGTTTGCTTATTCATTATGTACGGAAAGATACAATATTTAGCCTCGACTGAAATTGCTGTTGTCCCTCAGAATACATTTAAATTGTTTGACTTTGTAAATGTACAAGTTATTTATTCCCTTATTCTTCTTTGTAAATTTGCCTTCTTTGTATTTTCTGAAAATATTTCAACTATTTTCAGGTTTCTGTTATCTGGATCTAGCCATGCAAAGAAAAGTTGTCATTTTCCATACCTTTAAAACTTAAAATTGACAACCATTCCCAATTTATTTCAATTTCTAGGTGAGATTTAGAGTTTCATTTATGATGGAATGACCTCCTTAGGGACAGACATCTAATTAATAGTTAATTCATTTAAGAAATTCAAGGTACTGTGTTTCTTCTCCCTGCTCCCAAAGAGCTTATAGTCCAATCAGGGAAACAAACAGGAAGTGATTGCAATTCAGGGCTGTGTGCTAAGTGAGAAATAAGCAGGAAACGATGCGGGAGCACAAAGATGGGCACTAGCCTGGACCAGAGTTGGGCACTGATGGCACCCAGGAGTGCTGGCCCAGCCAGTGTCAAAATCTTCAATGAATGTAGCAAGAACAGAGGAACTAACAATGCTAAAGCATGTGCCTCCTATGAGCAAGGATTGTTCAGTGAGGGCAGAGTGGCCATGACCTGAAAGCAAGCCTGGGAAACCAGTGCTGATCGTGCCCCACTACCCACCCTTGTGATAATTAATATGCAGGATAATTAGGGCAGAAGAGAATGACCAGGCAGGCCTTCATTTTAACATCCTGAATTACTTTGGATTATTCATTTTAGATGTAAAGACTTTTTAATTTCATATTTATGCAAGACTTTTCTCAGATTTATGAAACAAATTTGAAAAGTCAGAATATTTTGGAACTAATGGTATATTTTACGGGAAAATGGTGAAAACAACAGCTTTGTAAAAATATAAAGGCTGATTACAAAAGGCTGAATACATATATATTTTATATTATATATGGGTGAGTATGTTTATAAAATGCAAACAAATTTATATGTAACTATTGAGAAGTTTTAGTTTTTAATATTTTCATTCCATAGAATACCATGGTGTACACAGTATTAATCATGGTCACTTTGTTTCAGAAATGTAATGATCCTGTTGCTGTAAAGGAAAATAAAGAAAGAGGGGGAAAATGCACTTAATAAATGCGTTCCAGAGTAATGTTCATAGAAATAAATCTTAGTCCATAATCATGAGAATGAAGGGTTGATAAGTTGCCAGAGGAAAAAATGATTTACAGTAATATGAATTTTAACACAACTGTAATTACATTTAAAATTTCAATTTGTTTAATTGATGTTTCTCCAAACTTATTATTTTTAATACTCATCATTATTTATATACCTTCAATAATTATTTTTTAAATTCCACTAATTTATATATTAATGAATTTGAATTGACTGGTTTGTATCTGTGGGTTTTTAGTACTGAACTAGATTTCTGTTAATTGTAGAGCACTTCATCCATTTAGAATTTTTTAGTCTAGTTAGATGCAGTAAAAACTGGTGTGAGTGGTTGGACAGGAAACAATATTTCAATTTTGTGTCTAATTTTTTGAGTGATTTGGATAAAATAAAAACATTTGTGATGATCTAATCAGTGGGATAAATTCATCTGAAAATCTTTATATCAAATAGGTAAGTTAGCAAACATGCCAAACTAAAGAAATGAACCACTTCTATTTTAGCTTGACTTTCATTTGCTACAATTATTTTTTATCCTAATAATATTTTTTGTTCTCTGCATTTTAGATGAAATGAATATTGACATGTATATATTTATGAATACATTTATGTTTGACTGTGTTTGTTTTATTTTAGAGTATATGTCAATATTGTGTGTTTTAAACTAATCCTTCAAAGACTAGGAAATAGAACTCTATACCTTAACCGATCAGTAGGTACTTAAGCACTAAAGAAATTCCTCTTGATAATAAAATACTTCCAAACTACTCATGTTTGTATATTAATATTGCTGAAATGTTTGTCCTTCTTTCTCTGGGATGAGGTAGCAATGATTTTATTTTAGTAATTGAAGTATAATTCTTTTCAGAAAATGGAATATAAAGTTAGTCTTTCAAATGAATGGGAAATTCTAATTTACAAGAAAAATAAAAGCACTCTGTAATTGCCTATGATGTACTACTTCTGCCTGTGAGGTTGCATTTCTCTGTACCTTAATACAAAGTACAGTAATAGAAAAATGATTCAGTAAGTGTAATTCTATTACTTTCTAATATGACACCAATATGATACTTTTAATGAATGAAATACAAAGTTATTTTAAAAACTGCAGATTTGTCATTAACTAAAAAATGTTACATTTTATGTGTTAGAGTGTTCTTATTCAACTATTTATTGCTGAGTATTAAATTGCACACTTCAACACCGTGTGTTATTGCACAGTACTTAACAAATAGTAAGTCCAGAATAAATAGTTATTGACTGAATTAATTTATTAATATATTCAAGGCTGTTCCAGGTGTTGTGGGAGCTGCAAAGGGTGAGTAATACACCATAGCTTCTTTCAAAATGAATGATACAAGTAAGAATAATATGAGATCACATGGGAAGAAATTAATGTTGACCGTAGCCAATGAGAGAATCTTTATAAAAGTCATAGAATATAAGTTAGATATTGAGGATAGGGTAAATAAAAGAGAAATTTGGCTAAATTTGCAACCGTGGAAAAGAAAGAAAATGTCAAGTAAAATCGGAAAGGTTAGGCTTAAAAAAAACATTTTGAAACAGCACAGTAAAGTATCATTTGAATACAAAAGGAATTATAGATAGGCAAAATGAATTACAGATTATCATGAATAATACGATCAACTTTACCCTCACTTTACAGCAAAAAGAATCACAGGCCAATAGGTGAGTTTACATGTTTGAGATTCCATAGAAAATAGTAAAAATGGTAGCATAACTGTTTGGGAAGTCATAAGGAAAGAAGTCAAGACTTCTCTTTCAAAACTTTCCAAACTCACGTATATTCAAACATCTGGAAAAATGCTAGCAGCCTTCTAAAGAAATGGCTCTTAGTATTTGAGAAGATTACCTGTAGTATTACCAAAGGCCACACACACACACGAAGGGAAGCGTAGTGGAGAAAGTTTTATTCTTCAGGCCAAAAACACATATATTTAAGTCTTGGTTCAGCCACTTACTTGTGTTATGGCCTTAAGCAAACTATATAATTTTTCTTCCTTTCTTTTTTTTTTCTTTTTTAAATACAGGATTTTGTTTTGTTGCCCAGGCTTGAGGACAGTGGCACAATAATAGGTCTTTGTAACTGTAAAGTTCTGGACTCAATCATTCCTGCTATTGAAGGCTCCTGAGTAGCTAGGACTACAGGCCTGTGTCCTGCCACCATGCCTGGCTAACTATTTTAAATTTTTTATTTATTTTCTTATTTTTATTTTTGTAGAGACAGGGTCTTGCTATGTTGTCCAGGCTGCGCTTGATCTCCTGGGCTCAAACAATCCTCCCACCTTGACCTCCCCAAACTCTGGGATTAAGTGTGAACTACCAGGCCCAGCCAAGCTGTTTAGTTTTTCGAACCCTCGTTTTTTTTGTTGTTGTTGTTTGTTTTTTTGGTGCAATCATTTTATTTTATTTTATTTTATTTTTTTAATTATACTTTAAGTTCTAGGGTACGTGTGCACAATGTGCAGGTTTGTTACATATGTATATATGTGCCATGTTGGTGTGCTGCACCCATTAACTCGTCATTTACATTAGGTATATTTGCTAATGCTATCCCTCCCCCCTCCCCCCACCCTTTGTAGGGACATGGATGAAGCTGGAAACCATCATTCTCAGCAAACTATCACAAGGACAAAAAACAAATCACCACATGTTCTCACTCAAAGGTGGGAATTGAACAATGAGAACACTTGGACACAGGAAGGGGAACATCACACATCATTTTTTATTTTTAAAACAATGTATGCCTTTCTGGCTGTTAGGATCCATTTAGAAAATTTTTTCTTGCAATGCATTCTTAGAAGAATGGGCTAGGTGATTTTCCTAAAGTGAATATCTGAGTATCTTACATTCTGGTGATTTCTAAACTTCTTACCGGCCTGAAAGGTATTACAAGACCTAGACACTGTATTCCTCTCTAACTTCCTCTTGGAGCCACTCCTCTCTGTTCCAGTCATCCAAGGCTTCTCTATGCCCCACTAATGGACCAGGCTTACACACACTTTACATTTTAATTTTTATTTCAATAGATTTGGGGGTGCAGGTGGTTTTTGGTTACATGGATGAATTGTATAGTGAGGAAGTCTGAACTTTTAGTGTACCTATCATCTGAATAGTGTACCTGTACCCAGTAGATAATTCTTCAAATCTCACTCCTCCTTGCACCATTCCTCTGAGTCTCCAGTGTCTATTATACCACTCTGTATGGCCCTACATATCCATAGCTTAGCCCCAACTTATAAGTGAGAATATGCTGTATTTGGTTTTCTGTTCCTGAGTTACTTCACAAGATAGTGGCCTCCATTTCTATCCATGTTGTTGCAAAAGACATTATTTCATTCTTTTTTATGGATGAGTAGTATTCCATGGTGTATATGCCACATTTTCTTTATCTACTCATCGGTTGATGGACACTTAGATTCATTCCATATCTTTGCAATTTTGAATTGTGCTGTGATAAAAATATAAGTGCAGGTGTCTTTTTGACATAATGACTTAGTTTTCTTTGTGTAGATACCCAGTAGTGGGATTGCTGGATGGGATGGTAGATCTACTTTTAGATCTTTGAGAAATCTTCATACTGTTTTTCATACAGGTTGTACTAATTTACATTCCCACCAATAGTATATAAGTGTTCCTTTTTTTTTTTTAACCATATCTGTGTCAAAGTCTAATGTTTTTTGACTTTTTAGTAATGACCGTTCTGACTAGGGAAAGATGGTGTCTCGGTGTAGTTTTTTTTTTTTTTTTTGAGATGGAGTCTCACTCTGTCGCCCAGGCTGGAGTGCAGTGGCGCGATCTCTGCTCACTGCAAGCTCCACCTCACGGGTTCATGCCATTCTCCTGCCTCAGCCTCCCGAGTAGCTAGGACTACAGGCGCTCACCACCACACCTGGCTAATTTTTTGTATTTTTTTGGTAGAGACAGGGTTTCACCGTGTTAGCCAGGATGGTCTTGATCTCCTGACCTTGTGATCTCAGTGTAGTTTTAATTTGCATTTCCCTGATGGTTAGTGATGTTAAGCATTTTTTCATATATTTCTTGGCCATTTGTATATCTTCTTTTGAAAAATGTCTATTCATATTGTTTGCCCACTTTTTAATTGATTTTTTCTTTTTTCTTGCTGATTTGTTTGAGTTCCTTGTAGATTCTCTATATTAGTCCTTTTTCAGATGTATCATTTGTAAATATTTTTCCCAGATACCTGAGAGTATGTTTAACCAAAGAGGTGAAAGATCTCTACAAGAAGAACTCCAAAACACTGATGAAACAAATTGTAGATAACACAAACAAGTGGAAAAACATCTCATTCTCATGGATTAGATGAATCAATATTGTGAAAATGAACATACTACCCAAAGCAATCGACAGATTAAATGCAATTTCTATCAAAATACCACCATCATTTGTTCACAGAATTAGAAAAAACAATCCTAAAATTCATATGGAACCAAAAAGAGCCTGAATAGCCAAAGCAATTGTAAGCAAAAAGAACAAATCTGGAGGCATCGCATTACCTTCCTTCAATTTACAAGGCTATAGTAGCCCAAAGAGTATGGTACTGGTATAAAGCAGATACGTACACAAATTGAACAGAATAGAGAATCCAGAAATAAAGCCAATATCTATAAGCAATTGATCTTCTACAAAGCAGACCAAAACATACTGGGAAGAGGACACCCTATTCAGTAAATGGTGCTGGGACAATTGGAGAGGCACATGTAGAAGAATGAAACTGGATCCCTATCACTCACTATACAGAAATTAACTCAAGATGGATTAAAGACAAATATATGACCTGACCCCATAAAATACCCTAAAAATTCTAAAAGGAAACTTAGGAAAAACTCTTCAGGACAATGACCTACACCAATGATTTATGACTAAAACCCCAAAAGCAAATAAAAATAAATAAGTAGGACCAAATTAATCTAAAAAGCTTCTGCATAACAAAAGAAACAATCAATGGAGTAAAAGGACAACCTACAGAATGGGAGAAAATATTCACACCTACTTTAGATGAATTGCACCTGCTGTTTCCTATTTTGGGAATCTTTTTCCTTCTGATTTTCATATGGCTGCTGCTTATCATTCTTGACTCAGCCCAAATGACATCTTTAGAAAGACATTCTCGGCCCACCTAATGTAAAGTAGCTGTTTCCTGCAACTAATATGGTGTTTTTTTATGTCATTTATCAGTAGCTGAAATGATCTGTTCATTTGTTTATATATTTGTTTATTGTCTAGGTTAGGAAACTTTTCTTTCTTGTTCATTGTTCAGAACTTAGTACTATCCTAGTTGGTAAGCCCTCATAAGAGTTAATGAATAAGGAATACGTTAATTTTTATTACCAGAATTATGAGTTCAATATGGAAGATTTGGCGGAAAGACATAAAGAAAAACCAGGAAGGCTTTAACCTAGACATATACAAACATTTTGGTTATTTTAACATTATGTTACTTTAGTAAAATATTTGTTTTTATTTTTCTTAAAAAATAAGCAATGATTAAAAAAAAACCTCTATGATACTCCTTACCTGCAGATATGGCTCTAAAATATGACAAAATAGAAAATGGCACCTTTTTTTAACTTTAGGCTTAAATAATTTAAATAAGGCTAGATTAGAAGAAAGCCATGCAGAGCCTATGGAAACATAGTGTATGTGTAACAAAGAATTTGACCTTGCCAAAGAAAAGAGGTCTGTCCTTTGCCCTCGGTTTCTGAGAGGTAATCTGTGTCATACCTGATAGGAGTGTCTTTGTTTAGAATGGAGGCTGGCCACACTTAATAATCTTAGAGTAGAGGCTGACTAAGCCAGAAAGATCAATCATGTGATTTAGGATGGTGGCTTTGGGTCATGCAATATCAGTCAACTTGGAGGCTGAGATTAACCATGTAGTCAATCAATCAATCAGTCAATGATACCTGAGTAATGAAGCCTTATGAGAAACTCTGGACATTATAGCTCAGGCAAGCTTCCCTTTTTGGCAGTACTCCATCTATGTTGCCACACATCAATTCCAGGAGGGTAATAGGTCCTGGGTACAACAGAAGCTTACATTTGAATCCTTCCAGTTTCTACCCTATGTGTCTTTTCCCTTGGCTGGTATTTTATCTGTACCCTACCTCCATAATAAACCATAACCAAAAACATAGCTTTCAGCCAGTTCTGTGAGTCCTTTCAGTGAATGATTGCATTAGAGGGTGGTTTTGTGAATCCTGCAATCTTGCTGTTGGTGTCAAAAGCAAGGACAGTTTTGAGGACTGTGCTCTCAGACTTTGAGTTTGGCTATCTCTTGCTAGTATATCACCATGAGAAAGAAGATGTTGGTTGTCTTATAGATGTTAACATTTTAGACTTGAACGGCTTGCAGGTAATACCTATTCTAATATTTCATTTTATGGAAAAGCATGAAGGAGTTTATGATTTGCTTTAGTTCACAAGGCTGCTTTAGTGACTGGGTCAGAGTTAGAAATCAGGTTTATCAATCTCATTATTTTGGGTTTCCCACTATATACTGTGTTATTTGACACAAGAGTGACATAGTAAGTATCACTTGAGTACAAGTGATGTTTGTTTGTTTGTTTGTTTGTTTGTTTATTGAGACAGAGTCTCTGTCACCCAGGCTGGAGTGCAGTGGCATGATCTCAGCTCACTGCAACCTTTGCCCGCTGGGTTCAAGCGATTCTCCTGCCTCAGCCTCCTGAGTAGCTGGTATTACAGGTGCCTGACACTGTGCCCGGCTAAATTTTGTATTTTTAGTAGAGACGGGGTTTCACCATCTTAGCCAGGCTGGTCTTGAACTCCTGACCTCAGGAGATCCGCTTGCCTTGGCCTCCCAAAGTGCTGGAATTACAGGCGTGAGCCACCACGCCCGGCCCATTTGATGTTTATTTTTAAATATTATGATAATTTTTTTTTTTGAGACGAAGTCTCATTCTTGTCACCCAGGCTGGAGTGCAATGTCGTGATCTTGGCTCACTGCAACCTCCATCTCCTCGGTTCAACGGATTCTCCTGTCTCAGCCTCCAAAGTAGCTGGGATTACAGGTGCCTGCCACCACATTTGGCTAATTTTTGTATTTTTGGTAGAGACTGGGTTTCACCATTTTGGTCAGGCTGGTCTTGAACTCCTGACCTCAGGAGATCTGCCCGCCTTGGCCTCCCAAAGTGCTGGGAGTACAGGCGTGAACCACCTCACCTGGCCCTATGATAAATATTAACTTATAAATTAGTAAGATGTTTATCTCATAGTATTGTATATTCAAAGATAAACTTAGAATAAAACTTGTATCTTAATTACAGGAAAAATATCCATGCCACAAAAATGTCCATTTTTTAAGAACTACAACGATTTTTAACAAGAAGGTCTTAATTTTGCTTTGTGATTAACATTATGGCCACTGGTTTAACAAGTTAATGTATTAGGTTCTCTTTGGCTAACTCCAGCATATGATGAGATAATAACGTGATGGGAAATTCATACAATTTTCAGAATTATACACACTGACAGTTGTGAAAAATAAACATTTCCAGTGAGGCTGACATGACAACTTTAGGGAAAAAAAGCAAGCATTACTCGGAAATGCTAAGACAACTAAGCAAGTATAGGGCTATATAGCAAGTAAATGTCTTTAAACATTCCTCTGTATTACATATGAGTGCTTTTTCTGGATAATGTATTTTCATCAAAATAACCAACATATTATAAAAAATGATGCTTTAAAAAGGAAACTGCTGTTCTTCATCAAAATAGTTTGGAAACATGACATCTCATTTCCTGTAATTAAATGAGTTATTATTATCATTTAGTGACATCATAATGGGATATTATTAGGTAAATGAGATATTATTTTCTTTACATTATAGTGATACAACAGTAGAGACTCTGAAACCTCAAGAACTGATCAGATGGAGCACAAAGAGTGAGATAGTTATATTTCTCCAGACTTTTCTAGCAGGAAGTACAATAAATAGTCCGTATTTATTCCTTTGTAACTATCTTCTACTTAAGTGGACACAGCACATGGTGTGTCTGTTCTGTGAGTCCAGCACATGCTGAACATAAAAACAAGTATTTTTTAATTTCTAGTTTTTTTTTAATTAAAAGTATTATAGAGATGCAGTCTTGCTATGTTGCCCAGGCTGGTCTCCAACTCTTGGCCTTAAGCAATGCTCTCATAAAGGTAATTCTTTTGAGAAAAGCTTTTTAACTTGTCTGTCATTATCATGAGGCATTTTTAGCACCTATTATATGTATTGTAAAGAAAATCTGTCATATAATAAAATCTAGATATATTACCTTGTGTTTACTCTACCGGCATTTGAGAAAAGGGGATACACTCAGTAAAGGTGCAATGAAAGAAATTCAAATGACATTTTTAGAAGGCAGTATGTTTGGCTAAAGTCTGCAGGAATCAATTTTGCAGAGGTAGAGATAATGTAGGCATTTGAGTAACAAGGGATTTACTGTTTAGTGTTCTGTAGACACATACCATTTACATCTTTTTGTGTGTTGGGCAGTGAATATATACAAATGAGAACTGTATTTTTCATTTCTTAATTTCAACTTTTATTGAATATTCGGGGGTACATGCACAGGTTTGTTACATGGGTATCATGATGCTGAGGTCTGAGGTACAATAGATCCCATCACCCAGGTAGGTAGCATTGTACCCAGTGGTTAGGTTTTTCACCCTTCTGACCCTTTATCTCCCACATGCCAAGTAGTCCCCAGTGTCTATTGTTGCCATCTTTTTGACCAGTATTACCCAATGTTTATCTCCCACTTATAAGTTAGGATATGCTATATTTGGTTTTCTGTTCCTGATTTAAGTTGATAATGGCCTCCGCCTCCATCCATGTTGCTGCAAAAGACATGCTTTTGTCCTTTTTTATGGCTGTGTGGTATTCCATAGTGTATATGCACCACATTTTCTTTATCCAGTCCACCATTGATGGGGTCCTAGGATTATTCCATGTCTTTGCTATTGTGAATAGTGCTGCAATTAACATAGATACAAGTGTATATATCTTTTTGGTAGAATTATTTATTTTCTTTTTGATATATACCAGTAATGGGATTGCTGAGTTGAGTGGTAATTTCGTTTTAAGTTCTCTGAGAAATCTCCAAACTCTTTTCCATAGTGGCTCAACTAGTTTACATTCCCACCAACAATGTACAACTGTTCCTTTTTCTGTGCAGCCTTGCAAGGATCTCTTGTTTTTTGACTTTTTAATAGTGGCCCTTCTGGGCTGGGCATGGTGGCTCATGCCTGTAATCCCAGCACTTTGAGAGGCTGAGGCGGACAGATCACCTGAGGTCAGGAGTTCAAGACCAGCCTGGCCAACATGATGAAACTCCCCTCTACTAAAAATACAAAAAAAAAAAAAAAAAGGCTGAGCATGGTGGCATGTGCCTGTAATCCCAGCTACTCGGGAGGCTGAGGCAGGAGAATCTCTTGAACCTGGGAGGCGGAGGTTGCAGTGAGCCGAGATCGTGCCATTGCGCTCCAGCCTGGGCGACAGAGCAAGACTCTGTCTCAAAAAAAAAAAAAAGAAAAAAAAAGAAAAAGAAGTAGCCCTTTTGTTTGTAACACAAAGAAATGATAAATGTTTGAGGTGATGAATACCCCATTTAGCCTGATGTGATTATTACACATTGTAGGCTTGTATCAAAATATCTCATGTACCCTATATATATAAATATATGGGGGTATATATATATATATATATATATATATATATATATATATATACACACACACAGTGGGTAAATATATATATATATATATATATATATACTGTGTACTCATAAAATTAAAAATAAACAATTTAAAAACATCAATAGTAATAATAGCCATTTTAACTAGAGTGAGATCGTATGTCATTGTGGTTTTATATTTTACAAATGGGTAATGAGTAGTGTGTAGAACAAATTATAAATGAGAGTTGAGGAACTAGAATGGTGGCTGGCAGAAGTTTATGGGAACACAGATTAGAAGGTAATGAAGTACACTTTGTTACTGAAATATTCAATTCCTCTAGTACACAAAGAAGAATGAAGGTTAGAAATAATCACTTTTCCCAGATTTTTTTTATATGTGAAAGTTTTAAATATTTTAACTCTTATATTATTTTCCCCCTTACCATGTTTATCACCTGCCAAAGAACTACAGTATAATTGAGGTATTTTATTGAAGAGAAATGTTGCTTTCAGTGGAGTTGACTATTTTATAAAGAATATTTAAGTATTGCTTTATTGACCGTGATACAAACTCATGCAGTTAGGTTTAGAATCAAGGAGATGGTGTCTGTGATGTTAGTTCTACTTTGTCATGAGAGTAGAACCTCTATTATTTTTGTTTTTCTTCTCTAATATTTTAAGTGATAAAAAGAAAAAAGCATGAATTTTTAAACTAACAGCAGTCATTAAATTTTAACTTTGAAATAGGAAGTTTTCTACTTAAGTAATATATTTATACTCATCAGTTTTCTTTTTCTATTACTTAATAATAAAATTATATTTACTTTATTCCCATGCACACATTAAAATGAAAGTGTTCTGAGTTTAGTTTTAAATTTTGTATGGATTCAGATATTGGTTTAAATTCATATAAATTATGAATCCATATAAATATTAGCTTTTTCTAAACAGCAAAGTATTATAGCATAACTTTTAAGTTTTAGTATTTTAGTAGTGTGCTACTTGGAAAAATTAATATTGTAATTTACCTTTTCTCAGCATAAGAGGAAGAATGAAAAATTCTGGGCATACCTTTCAGAATCTCATTTTGCTAGATATTTCACATTTAAATACAAAAACACACAGCAATCCAAACTAAATATTCTCCTTTGCAAAAATGTATAATGACATCATATTATAATAAGGAATAACATAAGCTCTCTATTCATATTTGCAAAATATATGTTTTTGGACTTGTAATGGGACTTGCCTCCAGAGCAAGAATTCATAGAATTAAGACACATTTTTGAAAATATTCATGAAAGATGTATTTTGAGTTACTCAAAACCATAAGGTAAATCAATACTTAGCAAAGAACAAGTGAAAATACTTTGTGGCTGCTATGCTGAGAGTTTAAGGCAATTCTATCATAAGGATTGAGTATGCTTTCTTAACGCAATCCAGAAATCAGAGCCAAATAACTATCCTCAGAGCAGTAATTATATAATATTGCCAGGTTAATTGTCTTTTCAAAAAATAACAGTGAAATCACAGTATTAAAAATATATGCACTACTGGTGTATTGTTTTCTCTTCTCCACTGCATACGTAGTGTGTACAACTCAACTTTTACCAAACTGTATGTACCCAGTCTATTCCTATGTCTTGCTCTTGACTGTGTCAATGATGAAATCTTGTCACTTGTACATCTCTCATTTTTTTGCAATTTATAATTTATCTTCCTGGGATAATGTGATTTACTTAAGGACACTTACCTAATTAGTTTATCTCTTTTTTTCCCAAGTAAAAAGGCAAATGTAATTAATTGTAAGGTAAGTCTCAGAATGTTTGTGTTTAGACTGACACAGGGAAGTTTGACTGAGGATCTTCTACAATAACTATGTCACAAGTGTTTTAATAATAAAACTGTGTTTCCCTGTGAGTCACTCTGTAGAATCCTATGGTTGGAATAGTGGAGACGGAAATGTATATCTTGGCAGCACCTGATCGTAAGGTAGAATGACTAGAAGAATGCTGACTAGGCTGTAAACGTCTTATTAATTTAAATAATCCTCTCCATTTTTAGACCTCACAATGATTACAGCAGTTATACTATGTCAAGTAAATATAAAATAAAAAACCACTGAAGTCCAAAGCAGCATGTCAAATATTGCCCTTAGATATTTTAGGCCTGTTCTGATAGTTATTTGACTAAAATATAACAGTATAGATATGTGATTAATAACTTCTCTATGAGACATAATTAATGACTGTTTTAGTAATTTAAAAATATTAATAAAGAGATTCATGAAACTACTGGGTTGTTTGGGAACCGACTTTATACAATAGTTATATCTTCCTTTTTTTTTTTTTTTTTTTTTTGGGACAGGACCTTGCTCCATCGCCCATGCTGGAGTGCAGTGTGGCACAGTCATGACTCACTGCAGCCTCCAAGTCCTGGGCTCAAGCAGACTTCTTGCCTCAGCCCCCTGCGTAGCTGGACTGTAGGCATGCACCACCATACTTGGCTAATTAAAAAAAAAAATTGCAGAGAGGGGGGTCTCGCTGTTTTGCCCAGGATGGTCTTAAATTCCTGGCTTTAAGTGATCCTTGTGCCTCAGCCTCCCAAAGTGTTGGGATTACAGGTGTGAGCCACTATGCCCAGCTGAATGGTTACATCTTACTTTTTTTTTTTTTTTTCAATTCTGTAGCTTCAGAAATTCATTATTTCTGCCATTAGGAACAATGATCTGGAGAATTGATTCACACTAACCAAACATAAGGGGCTGATTTATAAATCATATTTGATTTACTTATGAAAGGCATTGCTATTTTTTTACTAGAATATAGTTATCTATAAGATATATGAGGAGAGACACCATGCCCTTTACATTCATTGTCATATCCCTAGAGCTTAGAAAATTAATTCTTGAATTACTTCACTAATAATTACTCAGTTTAGTCTTAATGCCTCTTGATATCAAGTCATTTGGGAGATTACATGAGTAGTCAGTATGGCTGAAAGATTTGTAAATGTCTCCTTTTGAAGAGAATACTTCATAACATTGTGTTTGGTTTAGTATGTAATTTACTAATCTTTTGACTTTTGTTAATAATTAGCATTTCCTTACAGTTAAACAAACTCTTCTAAAAATAGCTACATAAATCTTACATACCAATTAATTAGAACACGTATTACATAACATTTTTGATGGCCTTTATATATTTGTTTAAATTTTATATAAGTAAATTCTTTCCAGTGTGTAATTAAAATGCCCAGTGTAATATATCAATTTATCTTAAATGCTTTAACCACTTTAATGTTATTTATTTTATACATATATCTTTATTTTTTATGATTCTATGACATTTCATGTTATTAGTTGAAAAATAAAAATTCTGTTTTATGGATTCATGGTGTACAACATGATTTTGATATATGTGTACACTGTTGAATAAATCATATTTGTCTTCCTGGATAAATAACATAGCCATCACCTCACATATTTATCATTTTTGTGGTGAAAACATTTTACTTTCTCAGCAATTTTCAAGTATACAACACATTATTATTAATAATAGTCACCATGTTGTACAACAGATCTTCAGAACTTACTTCTCCTAACTGAGGCTTTGTACTTTTGTCCTTGATCTCCCTTTTCCACACATACCTCAGCCTCTGGTAAACACCATTCAACTTTCTGCTTCTCTGAGTTTGTTTGGCTGTTTAAGATTTCCACACCCATGTGAGATCATGTGGTATTTATGTTCTGTGCGTGACTTACTTCACTTAGTGTAATGTCCTCCATGTTCATCCATGTTGTTGTAAATGACACGATTTCCTACTTTTAGCCACTTTTAAAGGAGAAAATTGTACATGTTACAGTGATCCAAAAGCAAATCAGTATGCTTCCATTAAAACTGATTACAAATGTATTAATGCTAGGCATTTATATTTCTTTTCATCTTTTTCTTGTTTTTACATTTTGCAGATGTAGCATTTATATTTCTCTGGGATTTCAGAAATGTAAGACAAGTCCATTTTTTCACTTTCTTAGGCTTTAACCAAACTAAACCTACATGAAAGCCATCTCTTAAATGTTAAAATTCTGAGTTGTCAACTAGATGACTGTTTGGTCTAGTGATTGGAATTTGCTGTATATTCAGAGAAGCTTCAAACCCACCATACTGGCCATAATGTTGGAGTTTGCTTTTACAATTAAACTCTACTTGCTATGTGCTCTTATGTCTTTTTTTTTTTTTTAAGTTAAAGCCCACCTTTTAATTTTGTGTAATATGGGTGTCCTCTCACAAAATGATTTTCTTTTTAAATCCCATTTGCTTGTGTTATTTAACACTTTTCTTGTTCCTGCTATGTTAACATTATTAAAACCTTCATGCCTGTAATCCCAGCACTTTGGGAGGCCAAAGCGGCAGACATGAGGTCAGAAGTTCAAGACCAGCCTGGCCAACATGGTGAAACCCCGTCTCTACTAAAAATACAAAAAAAAAAAAAAAAGTAGCTGGGTGTGGTTGTGCATGCCTGTAATCCCAGCTACTCTGGAGGCTGAAGCAGGAGAATTGCTTAAACCCAGGGGGCAGAGGTTGCAGTGAGCCAAGATCGCACCCCTGCACTCCAGCCTAGGCAACAGAGAAAGACTCCATCTCGAAAAACAAAAACAAACAAACAAACAAAAACTCATGGACTTTCATTATTATTTCTTTATTATGTAGGGCTATCTAGTGATTTTATCTACCAGGAGATGAGAAACTATTTTTTCTTAGTTATCACTCTACTTCTACATTCTGCTAATTTATCAAATGTCTGAAATGCATAATTGCACCCTCTTATATTTGAGATATCATCATTAGTGTTAATCAATTGCTGGATTTCTTTTTTTACCTGATTCCTACATGTGACCATTGGTGCTAAACAGTTTTTTCTATTCCTAGTACAGTACTACTTTTGGTACTACTGGTTTACTTACAGATCCTTGGCTATACAGACAGAAGGAAATACATGACTACATTTTATAAACATAAGTATAATAAGAAAAACAAAATACCCATATATAAACTGTAAAACCAATATAAATTAACAATTTTCTACTCAATTTGTATTTTTTAAATTAGTAGTACCTTTTTATATCCTTCATTTTTTCTTTTCTAGAAAAAAGCTAACCTTCAACAGTCTCAAATTATTCTATTTAGTCATACTGATTACTTTTTTTTCATGCTCATATTGCCAGAGATTACCTAGGGAGAAGCCATCTAAGTTGCTTTCCTTATCTAGCTTTTGAAAACAGCCACTAATTTTTTTCTTAGGTGAATTTTGTTTTCTCGGCAACAAAATGATTGTCCCAGAAACATTGTTTTATGTCTTTCTTCTTTTCTTTCTTTCTTTCTTTCTTTTCCCTTTCTCTGATAAGTAAAGGACCTTGATTTTTATTAGCATTATTTATTAATAGATATTAGTCAGCAAGTATCCAGCTGCTAGGACTGACCAATATCAGTGCTAGCTGTCGGCAAAAGGACTGTTGCTGCTATTGGTGACTGTTGCTGCTATTGGTGTCTTTTAGGGAGAGATCTGGAAAAGATGTTTTTAGGTTTATGAATTCACCATTGATTATTTTCTGTAACATATCATGTTGCTGCATCTACTGTTATTTTATTATGAAGTTTCACCAGCTTCAAAGATTCTCCTCTACAGTAACAAGAAAGTTGCTTTGTAAGCACAATATCAAAGGAAGGCAATTTAGAATAAGTAGATTTAGGAAGCAATTCATCTAGACCAGTGGCAAATGGAACCCTGCTAGTCCAAGTGTCAAGTGTTACCTGCAAAAGGAAAATAAAATGAGAACAATGTCGTGAATTTTCCAAATTTAGTTTGTTCACTTTATTGGTGTTGCTGTCTTATGTGAAATGTTAGAATAGCAGTGGCAGAGATTTTAATATTTCCCTGTTCAAAAAATAAAATATTTTAAAATTTTATTTCAAATTGTGGGTGAATGTATTAACTGTCAGAATTCAAAAAAGGATTGAACAACCACCTTGAAAACATCATGTATGCCTCTGGATCTCAGGAACTGCTGGAAACAGGAACAACATGACCTACCTATGACATTTTTTAATTTTTCAAGTAGGCTTAGACTGGTCTTGACTACACAATTAAATCCATAGCCCCTGTGATGACAGTGTTTTGCATCTTGCAGTATGTATCACCAGACAGAGACTTTTTTTCATTTCTGGGATGGGGCTTTGGTCACCAAGTTTGGTTAAGATGTCCATCTTGGACCGTTCACCAAGGAGAAGGAGTTTGGCTCATATAAGAATCTGGTAGCTCCCTTTATAGCTAGATGGATTGGGTAGGGTGGTTCCAATTAAAAAGGAGGAATGCTGTGAAAATCTTTTTCTAGAAGTTTACAATGTCTAAGATGTCCTCACTTGGTATAATAAAAAATGGTAGTTATGTGCTTTGCATTCATTTATTTCCTTTGTTCTGTCCTTCACTGCTTTCTAAGTCTTGTTGGTTGTATTGGTTTGCCAGGGCTGCCATAACAAAATACTACAGACTGGGTGGCTTAAACAACAGAAATTTGTTTTCTCACAGTTCTGGAAGCTGGAAGTCCAAGATCAAGGTGATGGCAAGTTTGGTTTCTCCTGAGGCCTCTCTCCTTGGCTTGCAAATGACCTATCTTCCCTCCCTCTGTGAATTCACATGGTTCATCACATCTCTGTGTCTTCATCACTCTCTGTGTGTGCTGTCTGTGTCCTAATCTATTCTTATAAGAACACCAGTCCCATTGGAGTGCCCATCCATATGAGCTTGTTTAACCTTTATTGTCTCTTTCAGGGCTCTGTCTCCAAATGCAGTCATATTCTAAGGTACTGGGGGTTAGGATTTTTTATAAATTTTGGAAGGATACAATTAAATCCCATGAATTCAAAATCCAAGTGTAAAATTATTTACCCCAATTAGAAATTGGATAAATTAGTATCCTTTCACTATAAAATGTATTTTGACTAATATATTATTAACTACCAGGTTAAGAGTCTCTCATTTGGATAGTGTGTTTGATAAACACTCACATCAGTGTCTTCACAAAATTCTCCCTTTAAAAAGCTTTTCCTTTTCCACAACTTCAATTATGTTTTGTTGTTGTTGTTTTAATTTTCTGTTTTGCATTTTTAGTACGACAGCTTATCTTTTGCTGCCTATATTTTCTCATTTTTAAATGTATATAGATAAGTAGTTTATTCTTATTGGACTATCGCTGACACTGTATGGAACAGAGCTTCCAATAAACAAGTGATTTTATTTATAGTTTAAGTTATTCATTACCTTCGTTTGGAGAAAGAAGCACTTAGATTTGGGTATACTTATCACCTTTCAAACCATGGTATGTGCACTATTCATGGATCCCACGTGTTTTTAAAGTTTAATAATGTTTAATTTGAATTGTTAAAGAGGTTTATTTAAAAGCCCCAGTGTCCTTACTTTTAAACCCAAGGACTAAAGTGTTCACTGTCTATTTGAAAATATTATTAGCTTTCCGTAATGAATACTACTTTAACTACAAATTATGCTAACATTCGAATTAGCTGAAAAGTGACCTGAGATGGCATGCCACCATTTAGTATTTAGGCTGTTTTTTTGATGTCTTTGATGTTCTATTTTTCTGTACATTTGTTATTTCATTGTTAGTCTCTAATAAGTTCTTACTTTTCTTAATATACTTATCACCCATTTATATATATACAAATATACAAATCAGGACTTTATTCCTTCTTCAGCAATTCCTGCCTGTGCACTTCAGCACATTACCATCTCTTCTCAAGACTTCTCAGTGTAGCCTTCTAGTTTATTTTGCTATTTGCCCTCTTGAAAATAAAATAGGAAACATAATCTCAGCTCTGATATATTATGGTATAATGCAAGTCAATAATTAATTTTAATCGAATTAATATAGATTGTTTTCCTGCCCATTCTTCCTGATGTAAAACAAATAATTGGCAAATGGTAGCCAAATTTTCACTTCCAAGCATGGTCTAAATTAATATTTCACAGTTGTCACAATATACAAAATTTGTTTGAAAAACAATTCATTAAATGTGTTAGAAGAATGTTACCTACATTTGAAATATAAATATTAGAAAAAGTAACTGGAGTTTCATTTCACAGACTTCTATTTGAAAAATGTGTATATACTTTTTATGTGTTTGCAGTGAGCAAATTCCTTTTTAATATCACTAAAGAAGTTTTTATTCAAATAAACACTTACCTGTATTTCTCATATCAAGAAATCATTTCCTGACTTCTAATATCTTTCATATCTGCCCATATGTACTTCCATTTAATTATAAGTTACATAAATATCATTAAAAAAGAAAAAAAATGAATGTGCAGATAATTGGAAAAGTTAAGAGGTTTTAGAATAAGTCTTGGAATTTTTTATTGGACTGATAATTTTAAAGCCCATAGGTGTCAAATGATTTCTGAGACTCAGTTAAAACTTTTCATTCTGATTTGGAATTCATTTTTGCTTCACGGCTTCCACATATGAGTATTTCCTCATTTACTCAGTGTTTTGGTTTCTAATTGTTGGTTTTGATTTTTCTTCAGGATGTTTTGAATAATTTGGGATCTTGTGAACTGGATGAAGATGATCTAATGCTTGATCTTGAATTTTTAGAGGAACAGAGTCTTCACCCTTCTGGTAAGTGTTAAAGAGATGAATAATATCATACAACTCCTACCCTGGTCAGTAGCTTTCACTGATAGCCTAAACACTGTTAAGGCTGCCTTCTATCTTTTCAGGCCTCAGTTTTTATAGTCTATATGCAAAGAACATGCTAGGTACCATGGAGACATAATTTGGGTGCGTTAAATGATTTTAAAGCCTTTTATGGAAATATAAATCCTGTTGGAAGATAATTATAAATAAGAAAAACTATAAAAAAATCTTTCCAAAATAGGAAATATTCTAGTTAAATAATTAACAAAAAGTTTAATATTTTCTTCTGTTTTGTGGAAGAAAGCAATAATTATAATCTCACTTTTCATTTATTTTATATAACCAAATGGAAGTTTTGTGGATCTAAGATTTACTGCTCCAAATCTTAGCCACTTCCTACATAGGTTAATGTTGATGCAATAAGGTTGATCTCAAAAGTACTAATTACCAGTAGCAGTCACAAATGCACACTCATAAACATATACACACACATAGAGTTAGAGAGGAGGTAAATAAGTTTTTGTTGAATGACTTGAGGGAGCCTGATATATTTGTAATGGCTTAAATTTATATTAAAGCATAAAATATTATGTCTCCAAATTCCAGAATTACTCTCTTTAAAGTTGGTTATAGGAATTATTGGTCGTCCATTCAAATTTAGATATTTGACAGCAAAAGTAAACATTTACACTTAATTTTTTTGTTGCTAATAATGTCTTTAACATAGTCATTTTCAAGTGGATATAGCATTAAACTAAAGCTTTAGAACGTTGGGACCTACTGCATACATTTAAGAAAATCAGTCTCTTATATGGTAGTGTCTTTATTTTTAATTCGTGGAAATTAGACATAACCTCTGTAGTTATTTTTAGTTGTAAAACTTTATGATGAATTTTCATTTATGTAGTATATTTGGATAATAGATAATATCATATTATCAATTGTCAAAAGAAGGCAATAACAATGTTGATATTTTCTTACACTCTATTTTAGGCTAATACCAAACAAGAAACTGCATTTAAAATTTTTTCGGTTGAATACCACTTTATGATAAAAATTTCTTGGGACATTTTTCCTGTAGTTGATTTGACAGATATCCTTCTAAAAATGTAGATTTTCACACTTTTATGCAGATGGTTTTTACAACTTAGATCCAACAACTTAACTTCTAGATATCTAATTCTATGATACTGGCAAAAGACAAAATAGTACATGCATATAATTATTCACTGCAAAATATTTATAATGGAAAAATATTGGAAGCACCTGAAATGCTCATCAATAGGATACTTGTTGAATATACAATGGTTTACCGAACAGTCATTAAAAAGGAGGAGGACAGTATCCAAATCTGCTATGGCATTATTGTAAGGATATATTATTTGTTTTTGTTTTGTTTTGTTTGAAACAAGGTCTGGCTCTGTTGCCCAGGCTGGAGTCCAGTGGCGTGATCTCAGCTCACCACAACTTCCGCCTCCTGGGCTCAAGTAAATCTCCCATCTCAGCCTCCCAAGTAGCTGGGACTGCAAATGCATGCCACCACATCCAATTTTTGTATTTTAGTAGAGACAGGGTTTCACCATGTTGCCCAGGCTGGTCTTGAACTCTTAGGCTCAAAAGATCCACTTGCCTCCGTCTCCCAAAGTGCAGGGATTACAAGTTTGAGTCACCATGGCCACCCGATTGTAAGGATGTATTGTTGATAGAGAACTTTTCTTTTCAAGGATGGATTAGATAGGGAATACCAAAACCAAACCCACTGATCAATTCTCTAACATCACAAAAAGTGTAATGAATATATAGTTTGCCCCTCTTGATGCAATGCTGACTGAAGTACAACAGCACAACCTCTGAAGTGTTCGTGTCCTCTCACCCCTTCCTATCCCCGTCCCAGAAGAAATAATCCATTCAAATAGTTCAAACTTTGATTTTATAGGAATTATTGGAATGGGTGGAGGGAAAATGTTAAATGTCATAAAAAGATTGTGGGCAACCAAATATAGGATTTGGAGATTCTGCAAGATAAATGGTCTGGTTTCTTCAAAAGATAAATGGCATGATAAAATAGGAGGAGTTGGAGTTGTAGGTTAAAAGAGGCAAATGCAATTGACATTCTTGTTGGTATACTTATCTGAAATATATAAACTTTTTCTATAAAGTTGTTTCTGAGTTAATCAGAGAAATTAGAGGATTGACTGTTACTGCAGAATTATAGTTAATTTTATTGGGTGTTGAAATGGTATTTTGTTTTGTTTAGTTTTTTTCAGGAAAACTTTTTATAGAGATAAATGTGGTGGTACCAATATCGTATATAGGCTTTGCTTTACCAACAAGTATGAGTAAGGAAATAGATGAAACAAAGTAGACAAATTCTTAAAAATTGTCAAAGCCGGGCAAGAGTTGCATGGGGTGAAAAGTTCATGAATTAATTATAATATTCTCTCTATTTTGTATATTTTTTGAAGATTTTCATTGTAAAAAATAAAACAAAGCAACAATTAGAAAACACTACAGTTAACATAGCAGTCTCAATTATGTTTGGTAGTCAACCACAATGACGAGAAAATAATGATTTAAATATCTGAAGACTTATTTCAGTGTGTTTACTTGGGGACAAAATCAACCTCTTTAAACTTTAGTCTCTCCTTTACGAAGTAATAATGGTACTGTGTACTTCATTAATTTATTTTAAATAAAAATGAAATAATTTTTACAATGAATCTCTTGAGTCTACTTTAAGGTGTAGGTTGCTTAGTTAAAGCTCAAACCAGGGTACCTGATGAATCAACTGAGTCATATAAATTGTTCACAAGATAAATGGTATTAGTTTGCATACATGAAGTGCAATTCTAATAGATAAAATATTACTTAGAGTGACTTTGGATTGTTTAATGTCACTTAATAAACTGTCTTTTGAAAATCTATTTCATTTTAGATGCCATGTTGTGTGGTTTTTAAAAAGCAGCAAACACGTTTATATACTTTAGCTGAGAAAGAATTATTTCCAGTTGAATTGGTTTTATACAATTTATTTTATTTATTAAGCAACATAATTAAAGACCTCAGATTAGGCCGGGCGCGGTGGCTCACGCCTGTAATCCCAGCACTTTGGGAGGCTGAGGCGGGTGGATCACGAGGTCAGGAGATCGAGACCATCCCGGCTAAAACGGTGAAACCCCGTCTCTACTAAAAATACAAAAAATTAGCCGGGCGTAGTGGCGGGCGCCTGTAGTCCCAGCTACTTGGGAGGCTGAGGCAGGAGAATGGCGTGAACCCGGGAGGCGGAGCTTGCAGTGAGCCAAGATCCCGCCACTGCACTCCAGCCTGGGCGACAGAGCGAGACTCCGTCTCAAAAAAAAAAAAAAAAAAAAAAGAAAAAAGACCTCAGATTATAAGAAGCTTATGATTGATAATTGATATTGATAAAAATCACAGCATTAAACATTCAAAAATGATGTTTTTAATAAAAGAACAGCGATTTTCAAAAGTCTGAAAAGTGAAATAATGATATCATTATATTCCACTGCTTATATTACTGAAAATCATTAAAGGGGTTGAAAAAATACTTCTTAAAGACAATGCATATGAATTTTTGGCTACAGAGTCTTATTATGGTAGTTTATAGTAGGGCTTACTATAATGGCCAAGATTGACTTTTTAAAAGACCACAGAAGACAAGATTAAGATTGCAGATGGGAGGAAGGACTAGCTTGTAGCTCCTGCTTGGATGAACAGAGCAGGGTGTGGAGACTCACATCATGAACTTTTGCTCCAAGAACTACCGCAGGAACATACCAGGAAAGCCAAGAGAATCCACAGACCTTTGAAGGAATTGGATCACCGCCACAGGCTCCCTGAGATGGCAAAAAACTGTGAGTCTGCTTGCTTTCTCAATGGGAGGCTCGTGGTCCGGGGCAAGTTCTCAGTTCTGGTCACTGGCTGCTTGGAAAATAGACTCAGTGCTGTTGTGGGACACGATGGGAGTGAGATAGGCCCTTAAGACCGTGGGCTGCATGGGAGTGGGGTGAGGCATGTGACTGACAGCTTTCCCCAGCTTCCCTGGCAAATTATATGACTCAGCAGAGGCAGCCATAATCCCCCTGGGAATATAACTCCACTGGTCTGGGAACCACACCCCCATTCCCCACAAAAGTCACAGCAAGACCCGCTGCCCAAGGAGAGGCTGAGCTCAGAAA
Source organism: Homo sapiens (assembly GCF_000001405.40). Classification (NCBI taxonomy): domain Eukaryota; kingdom Metazoa; phylum Chordata; class Mammalia; order Primates; family Hominidae; genus Homo; species Homo sapiens. The sequence continues at coordinate 90,404,344 of NC_000004.12, forward strand.
TGCCTATCCCTACCCCCACCTGGTGGTCTTTCTCTACCCTCCCTGGTGGCCTAAGACAAAGGTTATAATCTCTTGGGTGTTCTATGGCCCTTCCCACGGCCTGAGAAACCTGAATACTTAACCAAGTGTCCCTAGGGCAAGTTTGCATCCTCTCTATAGAACTGCAGCTGATGCCTTCTTGAAAGTGTTACTTCCTGGCTGGAGGCTGACCAACACAAAACCAGTGCACTAAACAAAAACACAACCAAGGACCATCACAGAGTCCACTTCACTCCCCTGCTACCTCCACCAGAGCAGGTGCTAGTATCCAGGTCTGAAAGACCTGAACATGGATCTCATCACAGGACTCTGCAGGCTCAGCCCAGAACCAGCCCAGAGCCCAGTAGCTCTGCTGGTTGGCTAGACCTGGATGGGCAAAAACAATCACTGCAGTTCGGCTCTCAGGAAGTCCCATTCCTAGGGGAAGGGGGAGAGTACCACATCAAGGGAGCACTCTGTGGGACAAAAGAATCTGAATAGCAGTCCATGAGTCTCAGATCTTCCCTCTGACACAGTCTACTCAAATGAGAAGGAACCAGAGAAACAATTCTAGTAATATGAAAAAACAATATTCTTTAACGTTCCCAAAAGACCATACCAGCTCACCAGCAGTGGATCCAAACCAAAAGGAAATCTCTGAATTGCCGTAAAAAGAATTAGAAGGTCGATTATTAAGCTAATGAAGGAGGCACCAGAGAAAGGTGAAGTCCAACTTAAAGAAATAAAAAACATGATACAGGATATGAAAGGAAAAATCTTCAATGAAATAGATAGCATAAATAAAAAATAATCACAACTTCTGGAAATGAAGGACACACAGAAATGCAAAATGCCCTGGAAAGCTTCAGCAATAGAATCAAACAAGCAGAAGAAAGAACTTCAGAGCTCAAAGACAAGGCTTTCAAATTAACCCAATTCATTAAAGACAAAGAAAAAATAACTAAAAAATAAAAATAAATCCTCCAAGAAGTTTGGCACTGTGTTAAATGTCCAAACCTGTGAATAATTGGTGTTCCTGGGGCAGAAGAGATATCTAAAAGTTTGGAAAACGTATTTGATGGAATAACTGAGGAAAACTTCCCCAGCCTTGTTAGAGACCTATACATCTAAATTCAAGAAGCTCAAAGAACACCTTGGAAATTCATCACAAAAACATCATGACCTACGCACACAGTCATCAGGTTACCTAAAGTCAAGATGAATGAAATAATTTTAAGAGCTGTGAGGCAAAAGCATCAGGGAACTTATAAATGAAAACCTATCAGATTAACAGCAGATTTCTCAGCAGAAACCTTACAAGCTAGAAGGGATTGGGTTCTATTTTTAGCCTTCTTAAACAAAACAATTATCAGACAAGAATTTTGTTTCCAGCAAAACTAAGCTTCATAAATGAAGGAAAGATAAAGTCTTTTCCAGACAAATAAACACTGAAATAATTCGCCACTACCAAGCCAGCACTACAGGAACTGCCAAAAGGAGCTCTAAATCTTGAAACAAATTTTCAAAATACACCAAAAGAGAAACTCCTTAAAGCATAAATCTCACTGAACCTATATAACAGTAACAAAATGAAAAAAAAAAGTATGCAGGCAACAAATAGCATGATGAATAGAATAGTACCTCATGTCTCAATATTAACATTGAATGTAAATAGCCTAAATGCTCCACTGAAAAGAGACAGAATGGCAGAATGGGTAATAATTCACTAAACAAGTTTGTTCTGTTTTCAGGAAACTCACCTAACACGTAAGAATTCACATGAACTTAAGATAAAGGGGTGGAAAAAGATATTCCATGCAAATGGACAACAAAATTGAGCAGGAGTAGCTATTATTATACCAGACAAAGCAAACTTTAAAGCAACAGCAGTTAAAAAAGGCAAAGAGGGACACTATATAATGATAAGAGTAGTCCAATAGGAAAATATTGCAGTTCTAAATATATATGCACCTAACACTGGAGCTCCCAAATTTAGAAAACAATTACAATTAGACCTAAGAAATGAGATAGATGGCAACACAATAATGGTGGGGGACTTCAATACTTCACTGACAGCACTAGGCAGGTCATCAAGACAGAAAGTCAGCAAAGAAACAATGGACTTAACTATACCCTACAACAAATAGACTTAACAGATATTTACAGAACATTCTACCCAACAACTGCAGAATATATGTTGTATTCATCAGCACATGGAACGTTCTCCAAGACCATAAGACAGGCCACTAAACAAGTCTCAGTAAATTTAAGGAAATCGAAATTATATCAAATATTCCTTCAGAGCACAGTGGAATAAAATTGGAAATCAACTCCAAAAGGAATCTTCAAAACCATGCAAATACATGGAAATTAAATAACCTGCTTCTGCATGATCATTGGGTGACTAATAATATCAAGATGGAACTTAAAAAATTATTTGAACTGAATGATAATAGTGATAAAACCTATCAAAACCTCTGGGATATAGTAAAAGCAGTGCTAAGAGGAAAGTTCATAGAATTAAATGCCTACATCAAAAATTCTGAAATAGCACAAATGGGCAATCTAAGCTCACACCTCACGGAACTGGAGAAACAAGAACAAACCAAACACACACCCAGCAGAAGAAAATAAATAATGAAATTCAGAGCAGAACTAAATGAAACTGAAACAACAACAACAAAAAAGACAAAAGATAAGTGAATCAAAAAGCTTTTTCTTCGAAAAAAATAAATAAAATTGATAGACCATTAGCGAGATTAACCTAGAAAAGAAGAGAGAAAATCCAAATAATCTCAATTAGAAACAAAATGGGAGGCATTACAACTGATACCACAGAAATATAAAAGATTATTCAAAGCTACCATGAACACCTTTACACACATAAACTAGTGGAGATGGATAAATTCCTGGAAATATATGACCCTCGTAGATTAAACCAGGAGGATATAAAATCTCTGAACAGACCAATAATAAGCAGCAAGCTTGAAATGATAATTTAAAAACTGTCAACAAAAAAAGTTTAGGACCAGATGGATTCACAACTGAATTCTATCAGACATTCAAAGAAGAATTGGTCCCAATCCTGTTGACACTATTCTGAAAGATAGAGAAAGAGGGAATCCTCCTTAAATCATTCTATGAAGCCAGTATCACCCTGATACCAAAACCAGGGAAAGACATAACAAAAGAAAACTACAGACAAATATCCCTGATGAACATAGATGCAAAAATTCTCAGAAAAATACTAGCAAACTAAATCCAGCATCATATCAAAAAGATGATCCAGAGGTGGAGCCAAGATGGCCGAATAGGAACAGCTGCAGTCTACAGCTCCCAGCGTGAGCGACGCAGAAGACGGGTGATTTCTGCATTTCCAACTGAGGTACTGGGTTCATCTCACGGGGGAGTGCTGGACAGTGGGTGCAGGACAGTGGGTGTGGCGCACCCTACATGAGCCGAAGCAGGGTGAGGCATTACCTCACCTGGGAAGTGCAAGGGGTCAGGGAATTCCCTTTCCTAGTCAAAGAAAGGGGTGACAGACGGCATCTGGAAAATCGGGTCACTCCTACCCTAATACTGCACTTTTCCAACGGGCCTAACAAACGGCACACCAGGAGATTATATCCCGCGCATGGCTCAGAGGGTCCTACGTCCACGGAGCCTCACTCATTGCTAGCACAGCAGTCTAAGATCAAACTGCAAGGCAGCAGCAAGGCTGGGGGAGGGGCACCCGCCATTGCCCAGGCTTGAGTAGCTAAACAGAGCGGCTGGGAAGCTCGAACTAGGTAGAGTCCACCCAGCTCAAGGAGGCCTGCCTGCCTCTGTAGGCTCCACCTATGGGGGCAGGGCACAGACAAACAAAAGACAGCAATAACCTCTGCAGACTTAAATGTCCTTGTCTGACAGCTTTGAAGAGAGTAGTGATTCTCCCAGCACGCAGCTTGAGATCTGAGAATGGGCAGACTGCCTCCTCAAGTGGGTCCCTGACCCCCGAGTAGCCTAACTGGGAGGCATCCCCCAGTAGGGGAGGACTGACACCTCACACGGCCGGATACTCCTCTGAGACAAAACTTCCAGAGGAACGATTAAGCAGCAGCATTTGCGGTTCACCAATATCCACTGTTCTGCAGCCACCACTGCTGATACCGAGGCAAACAGGGTCTGGAGTGGACCTCCAGTAAACTCCAACAGATCTGCAGCTGAGTGTCCTGACTGCTAGAAGGAAAACTAACCAACAGAAAGGACATCCACACCAACAACCCATCTGTACGTCACCATCATCAAAGACCAAAGGTAGATAAAACCACAAAGATAGGGGAAAAATAGAACAGAAAAACCAGAAATCTAAAAATCAGAGCACCTCTCCTCCTCCAAAGGAATGCAGCTCCTCACCAGCAACGGAACAAAGCTGGACGGACAATGACTTTGATGAGTTGAGAGAAGAAGGCTTCAGAAGATCAAACTACTCCAAGCTAAAGGAGGAAGTTCGAACAAATGGCAAAGAAGTTAAAAACTGAAAACAAATTAGATGAATGGATAACTGGAATAACCAATGCAGAGAAGTCCTTAAAGGACCTCATGGAGCTGAAAACCACAGCAGGAGAACTACGTGATGAATGCACAAGCCTCAGTAACTGATGCGATCAACTGGAAGAAAGGGTATCAGTGATGGAAGACAAAATGAATGAAATAAAGTGAGAAGAGAAGTTTAGAGAAAAAAGAATAAAAAGAAACAAACAAAGCCTCCAAGAAATATGGGACTATGTGAAAAGACCAAATCTACATCTAATTGGTGTACCTGAAAGTGACAGGGAGAATGGAACCAAGTTGGAAAACACTCTGCAGGATATTATCCAGGACAACTTCCCCAATCTAGCAAGGCAGGCCAACATTCAAATTCAGGAAATACAGAGAACGCCACAAAGATAATCCTCGAGAAGAGCAACTCCAAGAAACATAATTGTCAGATTCACCAAAGTGGAAATGAAGGAAAAAATGTTAAGGGCAGCCAGAGAGAAAGGTCGGGTTACCCACAAAGGGAAGCCCATCAGACTAAAAGCTGATCTCTCGGCAGAAACTCTACAAGCCAGAAGAGAGTGGGGGCCAATATTCAACATTCTTAAAGAAAAGAATTTTCAACCCAGAATTTAATATCCAGCCAAACTAAGCTTCATAAGTGAAGGAGAAATAAAATCCTTTACATACAAGCAAATGCTGAGAGATTTTGTCACCACCAGACCTGCCCTAAAAGTGCTCCTGAAGGAAGCACTAAACATGGAAAGGAACAACTGGTACCAGCCACTGCAAAAACATGCTAAATTTTAAAGACCATCAAGGCTAGGAAGAAACTGCATCAACTAAAGAGCAAAATAAGCAGCTAACATCATAATGACAGGATCAAATTCACACATAACAATACTAACCTTAAATGTAAATGGGCTAAATGCTGCAATTAAAAGGCACAGACTAGCAAATCAGATAAAGAGTTAAGACCCATCTGTGTGCTGTATTCAGGAAACCCATCTCATGTGCAGAGACACACATAGGCTCAAAATAAAGGGATGGAGGAAGATCTACCAAGCAAATGGAAAACAAAAAAAGGCAGGGGTTGCAATCCTAGTCTCGGATAAAACAGACTTTAAACCAACAAAGATCAAAAGGGACAAAGAAGGCCATTACATAATGGTAAAGGGATCAATTCAACAAGAAGAGGTAATTATCCTAAATATGCATGCACCCATTACAGGAGCACCCAGATTCATAAAGCAAGTACTTAGTGACCTACAAAGAGACATAGATTCCCACACAATAATAATGGGAGACATTAACACCCCACTGTCAACATTAGACAGATCAATGAGACAGAAAGTTAGCAAGGATATCCAGCAATTGAACTCAGCTCTGCACCAAGTGGACCTAATAGTCATCTGCAGAACTCTCCACCCCAAATCAACAGAATATACATTCTTTTCAGCACCACACCACACCTATTCCAAAACTGACCACATAGTTGGAAGTAAAGCACTCCTCAGCAAATGTAAAAGAACAGAAAGTATAACAAACTGTCTCTCCGACCACAGTGCAATCCAACTAGAACTCAGCACTAAGAAACTCACTCAAAACCGCTCAAGTACATGGAAACTGAACAACCTGTTCTGAATGACTACTGGGTACATAATGAAATGAAGCAGAAATAAAGATGTTCTTTGAAACCAACGAGAACAAAGACACAACATACGAGCATCTCTGGGACACATTCAAAGCAGTGTGTAGAGGGAAATTTATAGCACTAAATGCCCACAAGAGAAAGCAGGAAATATCTAAAATTGACACCCTAACATCACAATTAACTAGAGAAGCAAGAGCAAACACATTCAACAGCTAGGAGAAGGCAAGAAATAACTAAGATCAGAGAAGAGCTGAAGGAAATAGAGACACAAAAAACCCTTCAAAAAATCAATGAATCCAGGAGCTGGTTTTTCGAAAGGATCAACAAAATTGATAGACCACTAGCAAGACTAATAAAGAAGCAAAGAGAGAAGAATCAAATAGACACAATAAAAAATGACAAAGAGGATATCACCACTGATCCCACAGAAATACAAACCAGCATCAGAGAATACTATAAACACCTCTACACAAATAAACTAGAAAATCTAGAAGAAATGGATAAATTCCTGGACACATACACCTCCTAAGGCTAAACCAGGAAGAAGTTGAATCACTGAATAGACCAATAATAGGCTCTGAAATTGAGGCAATAATTAATAGCCTACCAACCAAAAAAAGTCCAGGACCAGATGGATTCACAGCCGAATTCTACCAGAGGTACAAGGAGGAGCTGGTACCATTCCTTCTGAAACTATTCCAATCAATAGAAAAAGAGGGAATCCTCCCTAACTCATTTTATGAGGCCAGCATCATCCTGATACCAAAGCCTGGCAGAGACACAACAAAAAAAGAGAATTTGAGACCAATATCCCTGATGAACACTGATGCAAAAATCCTCAATAAAATACTGGCAAACTGAATCCAGCAACACATCAAAATCTTATCCACCACGATCACATGGGCTTCATCCCTGGGATGCAAGGCTGGTTCAACATACGAAAATCAATAAACGTAATCCAGCATATAAACAGAACCAAAGACAAAAACCACATGATTATCTCAATAGATGCAGAAAAGGCCTTTGACAAAATTCAACAACACTTCGTGCTAAAAACTCAATAAATTAGGTATTGATGGGATGTATCTCAAAATAACATGAGCTATCTATGACAAACCCACAGCCAATATCATACTGAATGGACAAAAACTGGAAGCATTCCCTTTGAAAACTGGCACAAGACAGGGATGCCCTCTCTCACCACTCCTATTCAACATAGTGTTGGCAGTTCTGGCCAGGGCAATCAGGCAGGGGAAGGAAATAGCGGGCATTCAATTAGGAAAAGAGGCAGTCAAATTGTCCCTGTTTGCAGATAACATGATTGTACATCTAGAAAACCCCATTGTCTCAGCCCAAAATCTCCTTAAGCTGATAAGCAACTTCAGCAAAGTCTCAGGATACAAAATCAATGTGCAAAAATCACAGGCATTCTTATACACCAAAGGATTATAAATCATGCTGCTATAAAGACACATGCACACGTATGTTTATTGCGGCACTATTCACAATAGCAAAGACTTTGAACCAAGCCAAATGTCCAACAATGATAGACTGGATTAAGAAAATGTGGCACATATATACCATGGAATACTATGCAGCCTTAAGAAAGGATGAGTTCATATCCTTTGTAGGGACATGGATGAAGCTGGAAACCATCATTCTCAGGAAACTATTGCAAGGACAAAAAAACCAAACACCGCATGTTCTCACTCATAGGTGGGAACTGAACAATGAGAACACATGGACACAGGAAGAGGAACCTCACACACTGAGGACTGTTGTGGGGTGGGGGGAGGGGGGAGGGATAGCATAGGGAGATATACCTAATGCTACATGACGAGTTGATGGGTGCAGCACACCAACATGGCACAGGTATACATATGTAACAAACTTACACGTTGTGCATGTGTACCCTAAAACTTAAAGTATAATAATAATAAAAAAAAGAATTTTGAATGTTAAAAAAAGATGCTGAATCATAAATATAAACATCAAAAAAAAAAAAACCAAAAAGATAATCCATGATGATCAAGTGGTTTTCATACGAGGGATGCAGGGATGGTTTAACAGATGTAAGTCAATAAAAGTGACACACAAGCAAAACAGAATTAAAAACACATATCACATGATCATCTCAATAGAATTAGAAAAAGCCTTTGACAAAATCCAGCATTGCTTTATGATTAAAATCGTCAGCAAAATCGGCATAGAAGGGACATACCTTAAGGTAATAAAAGCCATCTATGACAGACCCACAGACAACATCATACTGAATGGGGAAAAGTTGAAAGCATTCTCCCTGAGAACTGGAACAAGACAAAGATGCTCACTTTTACTACTACTATTCAACATGGTACTGGAAGTCCTAGCCAGAGCCATCAGACAAGAGAAAGAAATAAAGAGCATCCAAATCAGTAAAGAGGAAGTCAAGCTGTCAGAAATAAAGAGCATCCAAATCAGTAAAGAGGAAGTCAAGCTGTCACTGTTTGCTGAAGACATGATCATATACCTAGAAAACCCTAAAGACTCATTCAAAAACCTCCTGGTAAATGAATTTAGCAAAGTTTCAGGATACCAAATTAATGTACACAAATCAGTAGCCCTTCTATACACCAACAGTTACCAACCTGAGAATCAAATGAAGAACACAACCCCTTTCACAATAGCTGCAAAAACATAAAGTAAAATACTTAGGAATATACCTAACCAAGGACATGAAAGACCTCTACAAGGTAAACTACAAACAGTGCTGAAAGAAATTATCAGTGACACAAACAAATGGAAACACATCCTATGCTCGTGGATGGGTAGAACCATTATCGTGAAAAAAACCATACTGCTATAAGCAATCTACAAATTCAGTGCAATTCCCTTCAAAACACTACCATTATTCTTTGCAGAACTAGAAAGAAAAAACCCTAAAATTCATATGGAACCATAAAAGAGCTCACATAGCCAAAGCAAGACTAAGCAAACAAATCTGGAGGCACATTACCCAACTTCAAATTATAAGGCCATAGTCACCAAAACAGCATGGTACTGGTATAAAAATGATACGGGGTGTGAATGTTTAGTTTTTGCTGATTGTATTGAATAATTTGAATAGTTTCATAAATCCTTGTAATAAAGAGTCCTAAATTAATATATGTTCCTCCCTCACGCCTGTAATCCCAGCACTTTGGGAGGCCAAGGCGGGCAGATCACGAGGTCAGGAGATCAAGACCACGGTGAAACCCCGTCTCCACTAAAAATACAAAAAAAAAAAATTAGCCGCGCGTAGTGGCGGGCGCCTGTAGTTCCAGCTACTCGGGAGGCTGAGGCAGGAGAATGGCGTGAACCCGGGAGGTGGAGCTTGCAGTGAGCCAAGATTGCGCCACTGCACCCCAGCCTGGGTGACAGAGCGAGACACCGTCTCAAAAAAAAAAAAAAAAAAAAAAAAAAAAAAAAAATATATATATATATATATATATATATATATCTTCTTCCTAAAAGGAGCAGTAGTACAAATAATGATAGAAATAAAATATGTTTTATAGTGCAGTAAGTGGATATTATTATTTTTATGAAAGCCAGGAAGAACAATTTCAATGAAAGAATGGTATATGAATTCAAAGTGAGTTCCTAAAAGGAGATAGCCTTGAGAGGAAAAAAATTTAAAAATAAAATTAAAAATTTCAATAATTTACCATGATCTTGGCATTATCTAATTTTATTGTTTTAAATTCTAATATAAAGGCTAAGGTTTTCAATTTAAAAGGTTTTAGATTTAAAGGATTTTTTTATTATATTTTCTTGAGTTTCTGAAAAATGTTTTCTGGAAACCATTTTTTGTGAAATAATACACATTATGTTTCAAACACAGGATTATAAGTTTTTTACTACCAGACATTTCTATTTTCTTGTGGTAAAATATTACATTTATTGTTTCTCCTTTAAATAAATAATTTATAAAGCATATATGATCAAGCACAGGGATTTTATGTTAGAAAATATGAGATGCTAGCATTTATACTTTGATAAACTAAAAAGTATATTAGTGACCCTTCACACTTTTTATCTGTCCTCACTTTCTTATTCATGTTTGTATAGTATTGTTTTTGTCACAAATTGAGTCATGCAATATGTTAGCAGCGAGGTTCGTTAGATAAACCTCAGCATATTTTTTTAAAAAGGGGTTTTAATGATATTTACTAGCATTTAATATTTCAAAGACTTGACCTTGAAATATTCAAGGTCAATATTTCAAATAAGTTCCCTTGAAGTTTTCTTCACAGTGAAGTATATGTTATGAACTATACAATTTGTCTAAGGAAAAATACCAGCAATACATTTTTGTTTGTTTTTCTTTATGTAGTTTCACATTTGTTTTGAGGATATTTTTCTATTCACTTATGCATCTTGCAAAATATTTATAACACAGATAAAATAATAATCATTTAAGGAAAACAAAGTAACCAGGATATGAAAAAAAATAAGATGAGGCTATGGATAAGGTTAAGGCACAAAAAGTTTACTAGTGTTATGACGGTGAATTGAAAATGTTATTTTGAGTGTCCTATTAGCATGTATGAAGAAAGAAAATCAGTTGAAAAATCAAAATATATATCATCAATCATTCAATCAGTGAATGTATTTTCTTAAATAAAATAATTCTTGTTCCTAAGAACTGAAATGTATTTTGCTCACATGTCTTCATAAGGTGCACATGATTTGAATCGGGAATAATTTGCTTAGCAACCCCCTTCAGTACAAGCTGAGACATCATGCTGCCAGTTCAGTATTAACAGTTCTAAACGGTGCCACGTCAGTGTGGCAAAAGCTTGGAGCCTTATAAGGAACGTACTTAATTCAAAATAAAATCGATTAACTTTTTTTATACTTTGTATTCCTCAAATAATTTCAATATGGAAATTAGGTAAAGTAAATATTGTCAAGAATTTTAGTCAGACAGAAAGTAATTACCATAAAGCTTAATAAAATATCAGATATTAAGCAATGTTATTTCCTGATGAATCCTCTGAAATGAGCTGTTGATGAAAGATAACCACTGGGTAACAAATAAGACAATTTTGCAAATGGCTGTTATCAAATAACTGGTTAAATATTAAGCAATGCATATTCTAAATAAGAATTTGGGTTTGTGTTTTGGAATACTTAATCTTTAGCTATTTAATCCATGGTAAACTAAAACAAGGTCCTGTTTCTATTTCGGCTACTCATAGGATTATCTTCGTAGTGGCAGAAGCTGATGGGAAATATGCACCTGGGTAATGAGAGTGATGCATCATAATTAAATGAATTAAAGTTAAAAGAGGGCTAAAACACATTTTAGTGTTACCCATTTGGAGTATATTACTTACAATACTGTTTCTTTAATTCTTACCCTGACTTCTGTGTTAGTACTGGGGTAGGTTGTACATAATCATTGGCAATTTATAGCTGGAGATCTCAGTTGATGGGAGTAGAACTAGCAGTGGCTTCAGGGTAGGGAAATGGAGAGATGATCAAAAGATACAAACTTTCAGTTGTAAGATGAGCACATTCTGAGGATCTAATATACAGCATGAATGGTGAGGGATGTGTTAATTAATTTGTGGCTATCACTGCACAATATGTACGTATATCAAATCATTACCTTTTTTTTACCTTGACTATATTCAATCTTATTTATCAATTAAATATTTTAAAATTCATAAAGTTAAAAATAGGTTGATGGAAAGGAAAATTGAATGCCTATAATGAGCCAGTCTCTTTTTGTAAACCCTCTCAACTTAATCCTCACAATAACTCTGAGAGAAAATTGCACCTTAATGATTCATTCAAAATAAAGAAACTACAAATTAATATCAAAAGAGAGCAGGCATTTTAAAGATAGGCATATCCAAGTTAGAATTCCAGCTCTGCCCACAGTTGCTTTCAACAAATGATATTTCTGAGCTCAGTTTCCTCATTTGTAAAATGACAATAATTATGTCTGTCTCAAAATATAATCCTATCTAAATGAGTGACATGCAAAGTTCTATTCTCAGTTGCCCAAAATAGGGTAAGAGCCCAGTACAAGTTGGTTACCATTCTTGAAATTTTAGACAGTTTTAATTCCTTGTTAAAGACGTTGTCCCATTATTGGTTATTTTTTGTAGACCCTAGTTTCTTAATGTTTTATCATTATTATAAATTATTTTAAAATGTGCTTTCTGATTTAAATGTTATTATCTAAATTTTATGTAACATTTTAAGTGATAATTTACTAGTACTAAATATTCAAAAATCAAATAGGACACTTTGCTTATAATAGGTGGTATATTTCTTTGTGTTAAAACCAGTGCATTTACCATAAAAAAGAATGAGTTCATGTTCTTTGCAGGGACATGGATGAAGCTGAAAACCATTATTCTTAGCAAACTTAACACAGGAACAGAAAACCAAACACCACATGTTCTCACTTATAAGTGGGAGCTGAACAATGAGAACACGTGGACACACGCAGGGGAACATCACACACCAGGGCCTGTCAGTGGGTTGGGGGCAAGAGGAGGGAGAGAATTAGGACAAATACCTAATGCATTCAGGGCTTAAAACCTAGATGACGGGTTGATAGGTGCAGCAAACCACCATGGCACATGTGTGCCTATGTAACAAACCTGCACCTTCTGCACATGTATCCCTGAACTTAAAGTATAATAAATATAAAAAAAATTTAAAAAAACCAATGCATTTAAATGCATGAACTTTTTTTCTGGTTGTTAGTCAAATGTCCAAATTGCCATAGCATATTTAAAATAGAAATTTATTTGAAAAAGAATAAATTTCTATTTTAAATACCTTAAAAATTATTAACCATTAATATTAACCATTAATCATTAATACTCAAAGAGAAATTATGGCTGTTACTTTGTATTAAGGTTGATATTTACAATTTGCAGAAGAGTTTTTAAATTAAATTAAAAATATATCTTACTTATTTAATGTTTTTGGATAAAAAGAATGTAATGGTCATTTGGATGATAGAATGAAGATATTTTATGTTGTTTTGGTTATTTATTTAGTATATTAGATCTGAAAACACCTAGGGCAGTGTCTCTTGGTATATATCCAAAGGAAAATGGGGAAGTAATGGCCCAATGATATCAATGAGGAATTAATTGCGTAGTTGCTAAATTATTTTGAGTTTGATGAACAAGCAATATAAAAATTCTGCAGTGAGTTAGGAACTCCTCCTGTGCCTATTAATTAGGGAGATAATTTTTGTTATTAATTTTTAATGAATAATAGTACAGCAGAGCAGAGATGAAACCCTAGTGGTTTTCCTAATACGAATGGTAATGTACAGAGAATTGCAACAACATTCACACAGGGAAAATTATAGAAATCAACTATAAATTTCTACAAGCTCTGATGTGTCTTGGTCAGAAAAAGTGTGTCTAAAGTATTTTTAATCTGATTATATAAAACTAAGAAACATACAGCACTTAATTTTTGAAGTATAACATAATGGTTAAAAATATGGATGCTGGCTCTGGAATTAGACAAATCTCAACCACCAGCCAGGCTATGTAAACTTGAGCAAGTTATTTAATCTTTTGCAGCTTTTCTTCTTCATCTGAAAATGGGCGCGATGATGTATCTACCTCATAAATTTGATGGAGAAACAATAAGTTAAAGCTTTGTAGAATATGCAATCTCATGTCCAGCATATATATTTTTAAGAACTACTGCTAATACCATTTTAAAAATATGCATGTAAAATGTGATATACCTGTATGTAGGCCAATCAGCATCTGATTCTGACAGATTTAGTGATCTTTCCAGTCTCTATTAGTGGAAAATCTTAACATTTTTAAATATAGAATTTCTCAAATTTTAAGTATAGAATGCCACAGCACATGCAACTAATTTTTATCATTTATTTCTAAGCTTATAAAATTATAGCACTAAATAAAATAATGGGATAATAAATAATATTTATTGAGTCTAGGTGCCAATTTATGAGGTAAATAACATCACTTTCTCATTTGAGAAAGTTGGAGCTTTGAGTGATAAAGCATTATAGGAATAAATATCCCAGCTAGACTCAAACATGGTATTTCTGACTCTGAGGCTCTGTAATTAGCCATTTTGATTCTGTTGACTAATAAAATTAATTCATGTAAAATGTTAAAATCACATGTTCACTGAAGCATTTGTTTTAAACTGACCTTCTGTTCTAATAGCTTTTTAAGTTATGGGCATCACTTAATATATATTTGTCTTTGACTTCACCTAAGAAGTTGGAATTAACTATGTTTATTTATTGAAGCATATACATTGTGCTGACCACTGGCCTGGGCACTTTGTTGTTTCAGGTTTTGCTTTAGTTTTAAGCTATAATTTCTAAGCATTTTGGATTATCTAATTTAATCCTCACAGCAATTCTCAGAAAGTGTTATCATTCTCTCTTCATAGATGAAGGAAGAGAAACCCAGAAGAGCACTGTTATTTGTGCATGATTACAGAGCTATTCTTGGGTTTCAATTATGCCTATGTGGCTTTGATACCCACTTACTGTTTCCACTATAAAAGCTCTCAATGATGTTTAGTTACTAGAAGGAGCAGTTATAATAGCGTTTCCAAATTTTCTATTACACTACAATTTTGATAACACTTTAGTGAGGATGAAATTGTGATCTCAGTTGTCACTTTGTGTGTTTCATCAGCAGATCCTATTACTCTGTATTTCTACTTCAAAAGGGATACAATACCTGTTATCTGCTTGGTTGCCATTAGATGGCAATCTTGTTCTTCTAACGATGATAGTAATCCTGTCATACATTTGTATTCAGCTTTATAGTTTACAAGCTATTTCAAATATGTTATCTCATCAAATTATCACAGTAACACTCTGAAATAGATGTTAATATACATCAAGTACAGTGGAGGGAGCAAATACTCTGGTTAAAGAACTTATTCAGCCAGTATTAACCTAGATCTTAACATTAAATGGCAGTTTCTTTTAACTGTTTTTCTAGACCTTGATGCTTCTAATTTTATGTACAGTTCTAATATACTTGGTTATATGTTTTCCAAGGCACTGAAAATCATAATAACATCTTAGAAGAGGAGAGAGAAGAGGAGAGAGAAGCAGCAGGGAATGAAGTATTGCTGTATTACAATGTGGCACACCATTACTTTTTAAAAACTATTATTGTAGTTCTTAATCATCAAGAAAAAATACATTCTGCATTATTCTGAGATGGAGAGCTGTATAATTCACTTTGGAAATATATCTAAACTCTTATTTATTCTTTAATTTATTGAATGAAAATAAACCCTCAGTTCTTCATATGCTTTAACTATCCAGGAAGTGTCATTTTATAATGATTCCCCATGGCAAAAATGTGAATATACCTTAAACTTTTTATATGTTTTTTATGTTTTTCCCCATATTCTTTCCCCAGGTTCTTGCAAAAGACTACTTAGATATAAGGATAGCTGTGCGAAAGGCTTTCCTAATTGTCGTACTTGAAAAAGCAGTAATTTATAGTCTACTAATTGAGTATGGGGACCATGATATTCCTTAAACACAAGACTATATAATTATCGATAATACATTTTTAGTGTAGATATTTCAAAATTTAATATTTTTTATTAGCTGTTTTTGCTCGACCAATTTACAAATTGACCAATTGATTAATTCATTAGTTTGATACATTCTTTTACACTCCCATTAAAAAATATTGAACTTATTAATTAAAATAGTAACATTCACCTGGGTGCACTCTTTTCATACTCTGTGTTAAATGATGTACTTAAGTGACAGAATAATGTTCTAACTGGGAGAGAATTTTAGAAGTAGAAGCTCCTCCTACTTCTTCTCCTATGAATATTAATAGTTTTAAATGTTTTGTTCAGGGTCACATAGTTTGCTTGTAATAAAGAGATGACTCTTAAGTAAGAAATTGACTAGCTCCATGTAGTAAGATGGCAATTATTTGATTTTTATGGTAGTTGCCAACAGACTAAATCATTTGCATTTCCTGATTTAAAAGTGCTTCTGCCTATCTATTTTGCCTTTCAGACTTTGCTATATTTTTAAGAGGATTGCTTCAGTGACAAAGAAGGCTTTTAGATGGAACAGTTTTCTAAATCCAATCAACAGTAGCTGAAAAATGTTTATACATCCTGACCTAATTTAGTATTAAATAACAACAATTTTAATGAAGTCATAGTATTTACTTG
Source organism: Homo sapiens (assembly GCF_000001405.40). Lineage (NCBI taxonomy): Eukaryota > Metazoa > Chordata > Mammalia > Primates > Hominidae > Homo > Homo sapiens. The sequence continues at coordinate 90,420,749 of NC_000004.12, forward strand.
TAACCTGCTATTGTAGCATTTCCTACTGACATAAACTCTCTTCTGCTGCACAAAAGGGCAGTCAATGGCCCAAGTTCATTAGAGGATACAGTCAAAAGAAAAGATGTATTTCATTCGGCATGGTTTTTCTGGTGCAATTAGAAAAGAAAATATGTGTCTCAATATAAAATTTCATGGCCTCTTACAATTATGTGGTGACATCTCCATACAATTGCTTGAATAATGCCAGGAACATCAGCTGTCACTATCAAAATGAACAAGTAATTAAGAAAGCAAACGCTGGTCTTTCTTCTAAAGGAATAGAATATTTATGTATTTAAAGTTGTTCACCAACAAGAAAAATAACCACTGACATGAAACATAATTTCCTATCGTGCCTGAGGCAGAAAAGAGAAATAATAATGAAGATTCACACAATTACAACAAATTAGGTTGCAATTGTGCATACTAAAAACAATTATAGACTTTCTATTCATCAGGTCATATGATAGCATCTTATCTCTTTTATTTATTTTCTGATACTCTATCTTATTAATCACATTTTCTAAAAGCTTATGATGGAATTGGGAAACTCTTACTCTTATCAAGACCACATTTTCTGTACCCTTACATCATAACGTGCTAGCATAACCTAAAGTAGGCTAAGCCTTGTCTGGATAGTAGAATGATAGTAGATCTGATTGAAGCCATAATAGTGTTAAATGCTGGCTCTTCAACCTTTTGATAAGACAGTGTTCAGTTTATTGTTTACTGAGGTAAGGGAAAAACGCTACCTTGACTGAATTCTGGTAGTTTTCTGTAGAGGAAAGTACAAGATAGGATTTACTGAGAGTATGAATGTGGTTTAAGGCAGATGTTTCAATTGAAGGGTTTGTTTGAATTGGATAAAAATAATGATTTTTTTATCCTTATATCTATGTAGTCTTTTGCAAGAACCTGGGGAAAGAATATGGGGAAAAACATAAAAAGCATATAAAAAGTTTAGAGTTGTAGGATTGGCGGAAACAGTGAGGGGAGGATTTTAACATGAAGAATTTAATGACTCTTAGGGGTTGAACTCTCTGTTGATGCTTTTTATTGAAAAATTGGTGGGTCTTTGGGGACAGTCAGTGGTGTAAAATGTTTTGGAATTGTTAGGGTACACCAAAAAGACAATAAAATAGGAAAGTGATGTTAAAGTAGACAGTCTGCTGTTTGTGGGTTGGTGGTTTTGGGCCTCAGTCTCCCTACTGAGGGAGGGAGAAGGATAGAACATTTTTAACTAAAGGCATAATCAATCCAGATTTTCACTAATGTTTGAGGTGTTACAATCACATATCAGATTTCTAGGGCTCATTATCTCAAATGTCCATGAAAGTCAGTTTTTTCCTCTTGAATGACCTTTTTCTTTGTTGGAGAACTTGACAGGGCAGCAGATGTGCAAAGTCATTTAAGACTCTGGAAATCACATCTCTGAACACAACAACACAAATAGAAGGATTATTATCAGGGTTTGTGTCCACTCCTTGGCCAGTGGCCAAGAGTGCTCAATTCAACAACGGAATAAATTTCATCCCTATTCTGAAGAGCCCATAGAACCAGACACATGATCCTCCAGCACTTTGGGAGGCTAGGCTGGAAAATTGCTTGAGCCTAGGAGTTCAAGACTAGCCTAGACAATATAGAGAGACCCTCATCTTTACAAAACATAAAAGAAATTATCCAAGCATGGTGGCATGCACCTGTAGTCCCAGCCAGTTGGGAGGCTGGGGTGGGAGGATCGCTTACACCCAGGAAGTTGAGGCTGCTGTGAGTCATGATTGCACCACTGCACTCCAGCCTGGGCAACAGAGTGAGTCTCTCTCTCTCTCTCTTTCTATAAGATCAATGTCAAGTCATAGAGACCCTGTTTCGAAAACAGAAAAAAAAACACCAAACGAACAAACAAAAAAACACCAGATATGGGATTCTTAACCAAATTACCTAATTTTCTGCTATGTTTATTTTTAGGCAGGCGACTTTGGGTAACATTACAGAAGCATCTTCAGGCTGTGTCTCAAATGGATATTCGGGATAAGGTTTAGATGGAAAGAAATCTCTCATGAACTAAAATATTTTCAAACTTTGTCCCAAGTGCAGTACACTCTCAACAGCCTCAAAATGACAGGGTAAACAGGAGCATTACTGAGAGATGGATTAAATCAGCTTATCGTTGTAAATTCTTCCATATTCGATAATGATGACTTGGGAAGTCTCTTTTGTTTTCTCCTTGTGAGATTTTGTCTACTTATTGAACATCAGTATATGCACTGAAAGATCTAGTTTTTTTCACATATCTTGGCATCAATAGTAACTTGGGCCTGCTCCCATATGTAGAGCATTCATAGATCAGAAAATAATTAAAATATATATTATTTGGTGTAAATAATGATAAAAATATTGAATGAAAATGGAAATAAAAATTATCAATTTTACCAGGTGGTTCTTTTTATTTATTTATTTATATTTATTTATTTTGAGATGGAGTCTTGCTCTATTGCCAGGCTAGAGTGCAGTGGCGTCATCTCGGCTCACTGCAACCTTCACCTCCTGGGTTCAAACGATTCCCCTGCCTCAGCCTCCTGAGTAGCTGGGACTACAGGCGCGTGCCACCATGCCCGAATAATTTTTTGTAGTTTAGTAGAGACAGGGTTTCACCATGTTGGCCAGGATGGTCTCAATCTCCTGATGTCGTGATCTGCCTGCCTTGGCCTCCCAAAGTGCGGGGAATACAGGTGTGAGCCACCGCTTCTGGCTCCACCAGGTGATTCATTTTCTTTTTTTATTAACCTCCGCCTCCTGAGTTTAAGTGATTCTTCTGCCTCAGCCCCCTGAGTAGCTGGGATTACAGGCAAGAGCCACTATGCCCGGCTAACTTGTTTGTATTTTTAGTAGAGACGGGATTTTACCATGTTGCCCAGGCTGGTCTTGAACTCCTAACCTCAGGTGATCCGCCTGCATCGGCTTCCCAAAGTGCTGGGATTACAGGCGTGAGCCACTGCACCAGGCCTAGGTGGTTCTTTTTTAATAACACATTTTAATGAATGAAATATTGGGCTGGGCGTGGTGGCTCACGCCTGTAATCCCAGCACTTTGGGAGGTCAAGGTGGGCGGATCACCGGGTCAGGAGATCGAAACCATGGTGAAACCTTGTCTCTACTAAAAATACAAAAAATTAGCTGGGCACAGTGGCGGGCGCCTGTAGTACCAGCTACTCGGGAGGCTGAGGCAGGAGAATGGCGTGAACCCGGGAGGCTGAGGTTGCAGTGAGCAGAGATTGCGCCACTGCGCTCCAGCCTGGGTGACAGAGCAAGTCTCTGTCTCAAAAAAAAAAAAAAGAAAAATTCACAGTATTTTATTTTTTACATCTATGATATTGATGTGTTAATAAGGTGTTTTAGCATTGATTAGCAACTTTTTTTTCTTTAAAGAGGTACATAAAATGTGCGTCTTGCAAGTAATGCTGTCTTAGTTCCAAAAATATATTTTAGATAAGAAATACAGGAATCTGAAAAATCCATAGGGGTGATTTATTAATTCATGTATCATTGCCTTCAGATCTTGTCCATATAAAGAATTGTGAACAGCCTCCATTTCTCATTATACATCCTTAATAGAATCATGTTTGCTTTTTTGTTTTATTTTCAAAGGTAAAATATGTATCATCCTCAGTATACCGCTAACTATAATACTCATATTTCTTTACATGCATACATGAATTATATGGCAAACTTTATTGTTTTATGCCTATAGATGCATTTATATATGTAGATTTTGTCCAATCCCTACTTACTATGATCTTCACTATTCTCACATATAAGATACTACACTTGAGAGAAGCTTTGATTACTAAGAATTACATTACTCATAGTCTACATTTTTATACCCCTGTGAAACTAGAAGAAGCCAGCTTCAACCATCCCTTAGAATGATTGTCTCCAAAGTCTACTTCCAGTTCAGTCCTCTTTCCTGATGTGCACATACATGTATTTCATGGCCTGCTAGCAATTTTATCGGATGTCAATTATATGCATCAGATTTAACAGATCCAAGATTAACTTTATTCTTCCTGCCCATAACTTTGTTTTTGCTTCATATTTATTTCCTCTTTTGTGAATAGCACCAACATCAGTGCTGACTTCAAAATTTGAAACCAGGTGTCACTAGTTTTAACGGATTCTACTTTTTACCTGTTCTTAATTCTCACATTTCTTTTTATAATTTTTGTTTTAGTCTTTATTCAGGCCATCGTTTTCCTCTAACTAACTTTATGTGATCCAGTTGGTCTTTTACGGCCCTTGGTCTGGCATCAGTGTCCATTAGTGCCATCTTTGTTGTTTTTTGTTTTGTTTTGTTTCTTCCTCTCATTCTTCATACAGAACTCAGAGCCCCTCTCAGATTTTATCTTTTAACCCACTCTATAAAAACTTTCTATCATATAAACACTTTCATGATTAGTATTTATTTCATTTTAGATTTTGGAGTGATAGGGAGGAATCACCTGGTGCAGGTAAGAGCACAGCAGTTGAAAATGCATGAAGGAGAGAGAGAGAGAGAGAGGAAGAGAGAGACAGAGAGTATTCAAGAGTTTCATTTTGTTATCTCTTCTGGACTTTACTCAGTTTCTTCCTTGTAGCCATGTTCTTTTCCAAATTTTGAGCACTTTGAATTCTTGCTTTTCTTAATTCAAGCAATGTACATCTATAGTCAACTTTCAGAGCTAAGTGTAGACTGACTCAATGAGCCCAAAGGCACAGTCTCCGCCATCAAAAATAGCTTAGCAGAGAATTTTCTCAACAAAAGCAGGTCTTTCCCAAATGGATTTTCATAACAGCTGCCAGAGTAATAATCTAGCCTCTATCTCCAGTTTGACCTCTTATCATCCATTCTCTGTATTGTCCACAAGGTGTGCTGACCCACCAAACTGATCTTGATCATTAACCTATTTAAAAGTCAATATTACCCATTACTTTCATTATAAAATCTGATTTTGTTGGCAGAGCTTACAAAGTTCTCAAGCTTCAACACCACCACTTTTTCTACACACTAAACTTGACTTCCAGCAAATATTTATTGAAGATTTACTGTAGGCCCTAGGATTCTAGTAACAAATAAAGCTGTGCAGCATACAGTCTAATGGAAGATTCTATTTTTTTTAAAAAAAAAACGTTAATGAAGAAAAGAGCAGTATGCAGGACATAGCAGTTTTGGTGGTAAGAAAAGACATCCTAGAGAAGTGACGTTTTTCCATGAAGGATAAGTGGGTATTGATAAAGTGGCATGGTGCCAGAGATGGTTTAGAAACTTGGAACTCTTCGTGGAAAGTGCGATACATGGTAGGACTTCACAGAGGCCCAACATTCCTTGGCAGAGTAGGGAGTCAGTGGCATCAGATGAATGACGAATGCAGCACATTCTTTCTCATCTATAAAATATTTCAAGTGCTGATTTCTTACCCTGAAATGATCTCTCTTCATTTACAGTTATATCACTATTCAACTAACAAAATAGAGCTGATACTCATTGATTTATTTGAAGTATTAATATTTGTCCATGAGGAAGAAAGTATAATACTAGGCAATGATGATCAGGGCTAAAATAATGTATTATATTCAGGGGAAAGAGATATTTCTGTGGGCCGCATTAGGTGGGATAGGCCTTAGAAGGGGTTGTACTTGAACTATAGTTTAATAAATTGCAATAGAGGTTGGGGGAGTGGTGACATATTTTATGAGCAGGAATCAATATAGGGAAAAGACTGAAGGAAAAATTCCCCAAGTGTAGCTGAAAAACAATAGAAGGTGGTACCAACCTTTAAAAGCCGAGATTTCTTAGGAATCATGTATAAAAATTTAAATTTCATAATTCTTTGTCTGTTTTTTCTTAAATAGAAACAAAATACAGCTTTGTTTATAACTTGTGATATGAAATAAAATACTGAGTATGTAAATATTTGAATAATTAAAGAGTTTGTTCTTCACAATTATATGACTCTATTCTCTATATCAGTAAAAGCCATCATCAAGTTATTAAACAGAAGTGATAGCTCTATGAATTGGGAGCTGGCAATATGCTTTTCTAAATAATGCTCTACTTTATTTCTACTAGAATAGGCTTCAAGTTGTTCTGAACCATTTTCTCAATGAAAATACTGAACAAAACTTCTAGATGATTCTTCTAAAAAGTCTTTAAAAATGTGTGTTTATAGGATAAGAAAATGATATATCTGCAGGAAATGAAAATAAATGTTAAATAGGAATCCTTAAAAGTAAATACTTATCAAAGACAGCTTCCTTTCTAACCAGATAGTAGCCAATTTATAAACGTTTAGAGACAATTTTGTGTGTCTAATAGCCAAAACTGTATTCATGTGTTTTTCCCTAGTGGAAACTAATATAGATAGTTTTCCTAGCTCAGTCACTTAGTTCTTCCAGGAATTTTTGGTTTGATTTGTAACTAACATTGGAGAATTCGGACAAAAATTATTAAATTATGTTAAAAAATAATAGTTTAGGAAAAGAAGAGACATTAGATATATTTCTTGTCTTACACTCTTTATATGAGGAAATTAAAATCATGTTACTGATGGTACATCACTAAGTACCATCTAACTGGCAAATAACAGAATATAAAATGGAAGGATTTGAAGGAATCTTTTGTTTATATGTTTTTAAAAAATTAATAAATATTATAAATATAAAAATTAGTAAAAGCTTTGTTAAGTGATTATGACTAAAAGTAATATACTACAAGGCCCTTCTATGGCACTGTTTAAGAAATTTGTCATTCACTATCTAATTGTTGTTGTCAAAAGCTATAGTGATTATTTTCATGAAACATCATGGAACAATCAGTGGAAAGAAGAGTACAGTTTTAATGTAGTTTTATGCAAGCGTATTTCTTTAGCACCTCTATGATCTTTAGAGAATATGCACATGATCAAATGTAGATCTAAAATTCCACGTGTATTTTAAATTTTATTTTAATTATATTCAGTAATATATATTTATATGTGCTAATTTTGAACTTAAAGGCATGATGAAATTTTTATTCTAGAATAAAGCAAAACTATACTCTTAATGATTAGAATGCAATGTTATTCAGCCCTATTTTGTAATCTAGCTTTTATTATAGCCATCAGGAACAGAAACTCATTTCTGTAAGCAGCATACCTATGGTTTTGTTATATTAGCTGGATCTTTTATTATTGATGGGTCCTGCTTGACACATTTTGTAGATAATATGCCCATAGGTTCTGAATCAAACAAGTGTTATAGATTGATGTGCTAATCTAAGTTTTATCTTTTCTTTTTCTATTTTCAGTAGTCCTCAGGAAACCAATATATCTGCTAAAAGTATAAAAGCTTTAGCCTATTATGAAAAATGCAGATTTGTTTTATTATGCAGAATTTTAAAGCTGAATCTGTCCTTTTTATTTTCCTCCTTCTACATTACCATCTTTCCCTGACCTTTCTCTTTTTCCCTCTCCAACAACATCAACAAAAAGAAAGAAAGAAAGAAATACTTTGATGCATTTAATAAGTAACAGAATTCTGTAGGAAAATACATACAGTTAGACCTTGAACTACTCAGGGTTGCCAAACCCCCATGCAGCTAGAAATCCATGTATAACTTCTGACTCCCCCAAAACTTAACTCTTAATAGCCTGTTGTTGATTGGAAGATTAATGATAACATGAACAGTCAACTAACATGTATTTGGTATGTTAAGTGTATTATATGCTGTATTCTTATAATAAAGTAGGATAGAGAAAATAAAATGTTAAAGACAATTAAAAGGAAGATAAAATGTATTTAATATTCATTAAGTAGAAGTGGATCATCATAAAAGTCTTTGTTCTTTCATCTCCATATTCAGTAGGCCAAGGAGGAGAAGGAAGAGAAGGGATTGTTCTTGCTGTCTTATTGGGTGCAAGAAATTTCTCTTATAAGTGAAACCACGCAGCTGAAACCCCTGTTGTTCCAGAGTGAACTGTATTTATTTTTGATAAAGTAAAATATTAAGTAAACATTATGAACATCAGAATGTCTAAATTGGCAAGATTATCAAAAACAAGGAAAGTCTGAGAAACTGTCACAGCCAAGAGGAGCCTAAGGAGATATGACAACTGAATATAATGTGGTATACTGGCTGACATCCTGGAATAGCAGAGGGATATTAGGTAAAAACTTTGGAAGTCTGAACAAAATATGACCTTTAGTTAATAATAATGTGTCAGTATTTTTGTTCTTTGAAACAAATGTATCACACTATTGCAAGATGTTAATATGGTAACATTTGTGTATTTGTGTGTGTTGGGGGGTATTATATAGGAACCGTCAGTACTATCAGCTCGCTTATTTTGTAAATTCAAAGTAGTTTTAAAAAAATAAAGTCTATTAATGTAAAGAAAATAATAATGCTTAAAAATTATTTGCTTAGTGTTCACTTTCAAAATTAGGGTCAAATGTGAAGTATTGATGAAAAAAAGATGTAGCCACATTGCCATTGTAGAAGTCCTCACATTATTGTAACGACACAGAGCCATTGGTTATATAAAAAGCTGTTTGGATGGCACAGTCTGTTGGCAATCCATCAGAAGATAGTCATTTGAATTAGTAAACTATCTGCACATGTGAAATTTGAGGAATTTCCGCATGTAATGTTTATAAGCATGCATAATATGAAATTTAAAGGATTAAGGGTGTAAGTCTTTACAATTCAGGAAAACCTACTATTATAGCTTATTTATTTTATTTCCAAGCATTATAGAACAATATAGGAAAAGAGTTTGTGATAGCAACTGGCATTTGAAAAATATTGTCAGAAAACTGTAAATTGTTACAAACTGAACTTGGTGACAGTGTTACGGACAAGAATTAGTTGAGACTATATTTTAAGTGACATAAGCAGACAAAGACTTATAGTTCAGAAAATATAGAGTGGACAATTATTCTGACCATAAAAATCAACAATATATCATGTTGATAAAGATTATGTGGCTTGTCAAAATTTAAGTAACAAGATTTTCCTTAGTCTGGTAAATGTATAATTTGAATGGTTTGTATATTCGTTTTCCATTTTCAATTGTTTAGTTAGAGTGAAGGTAGTAGAGATTGGGATAAATAAATTTCATCATTTTAAAAATTTTGTTTCATATTTCACATAATTTCAGCAGACACTATGTGTTGAGGAAAGATCTTTACTAAGTCTCACATATAATTCTTAAAATGAAACAAACCTGATGTTCGTAGAATATACAGGTAGACTTTAAGTCCGCTCAAAAATCTAACTCTACTCTCCAGTGAAGTAAATGAACAAACAGAGGAAGAAATACCTAGTACACTCTCAAAGAGGCTTTCAATTGCATTTTCTTCTTTGTATAAATTGATGACATTACAGTTACAATTTGTACTTATTTTATCCAATAACTGAATTTTTGATAAGTTATGCAAGTGAATATTTATGTATCATGTTATAGCTAACATTTGAATTTCTATTTCAGATTTATTCTCACTAAGGAATAACATCTTTCCAACTACACTAAAAAGTGAAATGTAAAAAGAGGGCAAAACTCACTGTGACAATGTCAAAATTCATTTTCAAGGAGATTTCAGTCTTTGTAAATGTGGAGTCAGTATGCATTGAAATTTCCAATACAAGCTCTGAGTGAAATTCATTAAAAGGGAAATCAATCCATATTGTCTTAGTACTCTTTAAAGCATATGTAAAATAAAATATATTGCATAGCGAATTCTAATTTTATTGACACTTCTTACTGCCTCTCAGGGATTTAAATGTTTAAATATTTTAGCAGCCACACTGGTTAATGTTTCAGGAATGTCAGTGCTTCAAAAGTATAACAAAACTTTACTGCTGTGAAAACCATACAGCAAACTTTTTTTCAAGTTTTTTTTCTAATAGGAAAATATGTGGGTTCTGCTAGTAAATAATCTCACTTTTGTAAAAGAAAAGATAGAAAAAAGTTGACAACAGATTGCAAGTAGAAATAACAAAATAGGACTAATGAAATTTGTTTTAATTTTAGGGAATTATATTTATGGACTGTTAACTATCTTTCTGTAATGCTGGCTTAAAAAGGCATATGCTCAAATTTTAATAATTTAAATTTTTAGTAGGGGAGTGATTGGTGATGTTTGGTGTAACATTTTTAAAATGAAGAACAGAACCCTTTGAGCTAATTTTTCTCATGCTGAACACAAATTTTTTAAAAGGTAAATGGATGGCCTGTTTTTAGTTTCACAGGAGCCTGGTTTTGTTAAGGTGATTGAAAGATTCATGTTTCATTTTAGATCCTCACTTGGCCCAAAGGAAGTAATGTTTGTTAATATAAGTTAATATGGCTCTATCTTTATTTAGACAGATATAATGGAGGAATGTTAATTTAAAGGTGGAGACAAAGAGCACTGTCATTACAACATAGAAACACAGATCTCCTAACAGCTCAGTATGGAGAAAAGTTAGCCTTTACTTGAAATCTCAGCTGTTAGTGAAGTTAAAGTTATATTGTGTTGTCTAGCTCTGTAGAGGAATTAGTATGGCTAGAAAGAGTGTGTAAAATAAAGCCACATGATTCATCTTTAGAATACCTTTTATAAATCCAGGAAAATTCCACAAATGCCTGCCTTTTATAAGAATAGTACACCAGAGAGTCTTAGTGTGGGGAAAGTCTCCTGTTACTGATAGTTCAAGAAATAATAAAGTAATGAAGTCCTATGTCAGCTTCCTACTCACTGTTTCTTACGATGCTTATTGTTTTAAAACCCAGCAATTTTACAACTAAATGGAGATAAAATTTAGAAATCTTTCTGTAGCTAGGAGAGTGTGTAAGAAATAAAATAGTATTGACTTGTTGCTTTTTATTAGTGTAGCCCTAACGTTCACTCAGTATTTGTATATCTTCCAACTTAATTTCATGTAGCATTGTTGGGTTAGGGGATGCCCCTGTATCAGCACTTATCCTCTAGTTGAAATAAAGAGCATATGCTCTTTAAAGAGTAACTTTAATAAATCGGTAGTGAATGTTTATGGCTGACAAATGACCATTCCCACCTCCTCAAATTTGCATTTGTCATCAGTCCTTCCACTAGCCTTGGACAGCTGAATACAGTTGTTCTCCCATTTGGTCCTCTGTCCATGGACACTAATGCTGGCAAACTCTGGATTTCTTGGAATATGTCACTGGTCATTGGTGACTCTGCTGCACGGCAGTCCACCTTCTTTAATTTTTAACCCCCTAGATCTCCCCATGGGTCTAGAAATCTTGGGTAGTGCCAGAGAATAAATGTGTTCTGGCACATAGTCCTGAAAAATACTGTTTTGAAAGGATCAATAAATAAAATTTGAGTTATTACATGATAGAGTCATTATGCAAAGTCTTAGTAACTATAACCTTAAAAATAATGACATAATACTTATGGTAGTAATCTTCTTATTTCATAAAATAAAGTCTTAATCAGAGGCAGTTGTCAAAAAAATTTGCTATTTGTTGTTCAAAAAAATGAGAGATGGGCTTAGCTTTTGCTGTGCAGTCACCTGCATGTATGGTTTTCTGTCTGGGATAAATGAATCAGGCTCTTATGTCAGCCACAACTCTTTGTGAACTCCAGTTCTGACACTAACTTTGTGAACATAACTAGTTACTTAACGACATTGTAATGTTTTTTCTTTTCAGTACAATGTTCATAACACATGCCTGAATCATAAAATATTTCTTCTTTTCTTCTTCCTCCACCTTCTTGTTCTTCTTCCCCTTGCTCCCTCCCTTCTTCCTTCCTTCCTTCCTTCTTTCCTCTCTCTCTCTCTTTCTTTCTTTCTTTCTCTCTTTCTTTATTTTCTTTTCTTCTGTTTGGAGACTGGGTGTTACTGTGTTGCCCAGGCTGGCCTGAAAATCCCACAATCAATCAATCCTCCCCACTCAGTCTCCCCAGTAGCTGAGACTATGGGTATGTGTCACCCTGCTGGGCTTAAATAATAAGACAGTTCTAAGCATTATTTTCAACAATGAACATTAAAAACCAAGACATTCAGCATTGAGTAAATACTAGTTGTTACTCCTTCCTCGAATTCTTAATTTGATTTCTGGGGAAGTATATTCTTCTGTTTTTCTGCCTTCCTCAAAATCTCCCTACCTAGGTACCTCCCATCTCCACGTTTGGTATGTTTTAAAGCTCAGTTCTTAGACTTTCTTCCTACTTTGCTTATACCTACAACTTTGATAGTTTCATCAAATCTCCTAGCTTTAAGTGGTGGTAAATCACAAAGCCTCTAAGTTTCTATCTTTATCCCATAAATTTCCCCTGCACTGCAGACATATATGTATATTAACTATCTACTTGAGATCTTCACATGGATGTTTACGAGGCCTCTGAAACATGTCCCAAACCAAACTCCTGATTTTTGTGCATTAGCGCCCCACATTTTGCTCTTTCCATTATAATTAATCTCAACAACTATTAAGTCTATTCTTTCAGTTGCTAAGTGTTCGGGCCACCCTTGACTCCTCCTTTTTAAGTTTTACATGTTCTAATATCTTGATAAATTCTACAGGCTCTTGTAATAGGGATAAAATTGCTCATTATTGACTAATCTACCAAGGGGATTGAATGACAATTATTAATTTCTTAGACCTATAGTTCTTAAAGTATGGTCAAGGGACTCTTAAGAGTCCCCAAGACCATTTCTAGGAATTCATGATGTCAAAACTATTTTCATAATGATACCAAGATATTAAAAACCCTAATGTTTCCTTGTCTTTAGCATGATAATGACAGCAGTACCATCAAATCTTAGCATAGTGACTCACACCGAGTATACATTAAAATGTGGACTACACAGCAAGTTAGGTAGCCTGATTTACAAAGTCAGGCTCTTTACTATAATGCTATAGTCTATCAAAAAATAAAATATAGCAATTTATTTAAAAATCTGCTTAATGTGGAACCTTTGATGGTTTTCTATCTTTTCTTCTAATAATATCATAATTTAAATCTTTTGCATAAAATTGCACCCTAATTTCTTAGGACAGCACATATAATGGTATTTTTGAATGAATGGATGTTCATAATTTTGATTTCCTGGAGATATATATATATATATATGCAAATTGTAAGACAAGAGGTTTAAATAAAATTATAGGCCAATAGCTGCATATGACAGGAACTATTTTACCATATTCTCTTTAGGATTGTTATCATCTTTAAGTTTTTAATATTTTTATAGTTTAAAAGATTATATATTATTCGAAGTTACAACTTTTTCCCCACAATTATGGTTGAAGGTTTTTTGTTTCTCTTTGTCAGTTTTCTCTTTTGAATTTTATTTGTCTTTTATATCTGTCATATTGTCCTTAACAGAATTCTAGTTTATCCCTAGTGATAACAGATTATGCATGAGCTTTTTCATTTATTTCTCTTCATATCCATTTTTTCCTTTTAAGTTAAGCAAAAATAATTTTTGATATTTTATTTTCAGATGAAAAATGTATTGTAAATGGTTAGATAAGAAAATAGAACAATTTACTAGTAGCCCCTCATATTTAAATAATTCTACCCTGCCCTGTTTTAAAATGGCAAGCTGAATTTTTAACCCTTTTCTACCTGTATGTATTCTTAGACATAGGGAAATGTGGCCATCATTTTTTCCAGGCTTATAGCCTCACATGGTGGTAAAATTTATTGGGAGCCACAACAATTACTAAAACCCAGCAGAACTGAAGAACTTCAAAAATATAACATTTGACTTTAGTTTTAAATGATAAGAAGCAGTTTGTTGAGCTGAGAAGGAAATGAAGCACCATATTAAAGGCAGAGAGAACAGCTTGGGTAAAAAGCAGAAACATAAAAGACCAGAGGGTATTTGGGATACAGCAAGCAGTTTGGTGTGATGAGAAAGGAAGATGGGAGATGAGCCTGTGAAGCTAGTGGTGGCTGATTTGAGGAACCTTGCATTCAATACTAGAGAGTTTTTGCTTTATCTTATTAGTAGTTGGGGATTTGGTAAAGATTTTCTATGTAGGGACAGACTATGATCAAACTTGTAGTTTGAAGGCATTCATAAAATTTTAGCAGCGTTTAGATTATTTTACTTGTTAAATCCTTTTCCCCACTTCTTTTCGTCTTGTCATTTTCATATCGGACAACAATGTGGTTGGTATTGGCCTCTGCGTGAATGTAAATGGTACCTAGGGAGCCTCCAGCCATGTCAGGATCATGAGCTTTCTCACTGCTTCTTCTTCTTTGTTTTGATTTTGTTCTTTTAATACAAGCAAAAGTAATTTTTGACCTTTGATTTTAATATGATAACACATTAAAAACAAGCAAATAGTACAGTTTCCTCAGCTTTACTAACTCAGATTTCATTACTATAAAAAGACAAGGAAAATAATAAATATATATGCGTGAAGAATAGGAAGAAAGCTAAATGTATTAATGTTTTTGTCAGAAAATTTTCTGCAGACTTTTTAAAGCTTCTGTTTATTGAATAATAGCTTAAATAAAGATGTTAAAAATATTTGTAAATATTTCATATTGATATTGGGCCATTCAATTCAAAATTAATTTACTTCTTAGTAAAATAAAAATAAAAGAAACAGAAGCCCTGTTTCTCCTAGAGAGGGATCTCATCTCTTAAAATATAGATCCTATGATTATCATGTACTGAGGAAGAAACTAAATGAATTAACTCCAATATTGTGCTCCTTCTATTGATAAATTCTGTGGAATGTTTATCTCTTGAGTAAAAGAATAATAGAGTAATAGCATTATAATATTCTCGTAACTTACCACTAGGCTAGTAAAAATTATTCCTTTGGCCTTAATTAAGTTTGAATCTCTGTAAGAGGTTGGGAGACATTTAGTGATGGCAAATTAACAGTGTTTTACTTGTGCTGATTTATGTATACCATTAATGTGGCAGTATTTTAATTTAACTGTTCTTCACCTAAGCTGTGTAATACATGACTGCCTCAGGTAATGATACGTAAAATTTCAATGAGTATTAAGGTTTATTCCAGGGCAGCAGATAATAGAGACTAGTATGTTTGAAGTATTTCTTGTTGGTGAATACTTCAAAAAAATCTTAGATTTTTTTTTTCAATCTATATATGTTAGATATTAAATTGTTTATGGACTATAAACCAATCAAACACAAGGGCTATTTTAATTTTTACCTTGCTTAATTTTAACTGCTTTATTTCATTTAAATGGCGTATAATGTTCCCAACTTGTTTAAGTCAAAATGCAAAAATGTTAATATTCATGATATTATAAATTACTAGAAAATTATGTTTCACTTACATATAAGATAGCTTGACACAGATAAAAATTAAACTTGAATTAAAGCACATAACAGAAAAAATAATAGCAATCTTTACAAATTAGGGTTGTGTTTTTACTTAGGTATACTAGCATAATCAGTTATATTTAAGTGAGAGATCATGTCTTGATTAATGGTGTTATTAATCATGAATAAGCAAATATGTCTTTTTCTGGAACTTAATTTGGGTTGTCTTTTAAGAAAATCTAACAAACAAAATTCTAAATAAAATTTAGATGCTTATAAATTTGTTGTGTGAACTTTCAGCAGAAAACTAAGTTCAACTCAAAATAGAAAACAGAACTGTACACAGCTTAGCAGTGATGTAAATATTGTGAATGCAAGGTGCAAGGCACATTTGAAAATACCGCTTGTATTTCAAACCTCAAAGCAGAGCAATAATAAAAGCTTACAGCTAGAAGGAAATTAA